>NC_000001.11:241487151-241638667 GCF_000001405.40 Homo sapiens
CAAGGGCTGAAAAACTGTTACAGACAGGAAGAGACTAAGGAGAATTAACTAAATGCAATGTGGGATCCCAGGTGGGATCTTGCAACAGAGAAAGGATAATGGAAAAATTGGTGAAATTTGGAAAAACATCTATAATTAATATTATACTGATGTTAGTTTTCTGTTCTTGACCATTGTGCTATCGTTATGTAAGATGTTCATATAAGGGTAAGTAAGCTGGTGAGACATAAACGAATTTTTCATACAATTTTTCCAACTTTTCTGTATGTCGAAAATAGGTCAAAATAAAAAGTTTAATAAAATGAATCAAAATTTAAAAAGTGGTTGGTCAGTGAGGCAAACACTAAGGTACTAGTCTTTTGGCTGGGAAAAAAAACCTGAAGTTAGGTGATGGGAAGTCTTTAATCCAGTTTTTCAGTTCAAACAAATTGAGAAAGAGAAATGTTCCATAATTTAATGAAAGCAACCCAGACACAAACACACACCCTAGTTTTCAGCTCAGGTTGTCTTCCTAGACTTCTTAGTATATCCTAAAGTCATAGGCAGGAAGTTCAATGCCAAGGACAGTTATACAGAATAGGAAATCTTATGTGATATATTTATTGTAGTTTAGTCTTTGAACTTATACAGTTAGGATAATTTTCTGAAATGCATGCTTATTTAGGATTGGGGAATGTTGAAAGGGATACTGATGAATAATCAATAAAATTACATCTAATGATTATGAAAGTATAAAGTCAAATATTGCTTACATTAAAATCAGAATGTTAGTAGAGAATATTTGCTAACAGTATGTATGTTGAAGGAGGGCTTTATTATTTTGGGGAAAATAACACAAAACTCCAGGAAATTATGATCTTACTATTCTCACCACAAGACTGTTAGTGATACAGGAAAATCACTTTTGAAACAAATGTTTGATTATTAAGATAAAATGGCAATGAAGTTTTTCCTTCTTAATAATCAAAGTTTTTTTAAGACTTCAAGGAAATAATGGAGAAATAACTAGAGAGCTTAAAAGAACAGAAGAGACTGATGATGTGAAATTCTGCCCAGATGATCTAAATAGCTTCATAACAAGAATGATACGATGTACATTTATGAGATGTACCAAAAATGGTTACCATTTTATCTTGAATATAGTGAACTGCTAATTTATGTATTAAAAAATTACCATTGTGTTACACAGATTTCTGGTTCCCAGTCCTGGCTACACCACATAAAAATCACTTGGGGAGCTTTTTATAAAAATGCCAGTAGCTGGTCCCTCCCCTCAGAAATTCTGACTTAATTCATGACAAGTGAAGCTGAGCATCAACGTTTTAAAAGTTCCCAAAGAGATTCTAGTGTGTTGCTCTCCAACAACTAGGGTGAGAATTACTGTTACAGGTGCTTTTTATTCAAATATATCTGTCATTGGATATACAAGAT
The DNA here is from genome assembly GCF_000001405.40 of Homo sapiens. Taxonomy (NCBI): domain Eukaryota; kingdom Metazoa; phylum Chordata; class Mammalia; order Primates; family Hominidae; genus Homo; species Homo sapiens. Next base: position 241,488,583 of record NC_000001.11, read on the forward strand.
AAATATTATAATCAAAATTACATTTTGGCAAGATACATAATTCAGTCCTTGAAGCAGCATTCTTAATCTTTAATAGAAATGGATGCCAGAAAATACGCTGAATAAATTGAATCTAACTAATGATAATTATAAATATAACCAAAAATAACAAAATCAGAAGGATTTAGTTTATTGTCATCTCATCCCAAGTATAATGAAAATTCATCTAATTTCATTTGAGATTATTTTGGTGTAAGAAATGTTCTTGGTTTAATTTTTCCTTCCCCCTAAAAAGATGACTACAAGGTGTAACTCTAAACCTGTATTTTTGTTTTGTGTGTCTACTCACATACCAAATGAAACCATATATAGCTGTATCATCAAAAATCAAAAATTTGTAAGTTACCCTGACAATTTTCTTGATTAATGCATCAATGTTTTAAAAAGCAAACAAAAACCAATCCTCTATTGAGATACTTTCTGGTAAAGCACTTTCCATCTTGTAAAAACTGTGAAATGTATTTGAAGTAGTTCTAACTAAAATTAACACATCTTGGATCACGAGGTCAGGAGTGCAAGACCAGCATGACCAACATGGTGAAACCCCATCTGTACTAAAAACATAAAAATTAGCTGGGCATGGTGGCATGCACCTGTAATCCCAGCTACTTGGGAGGCTGAGGCAGGGGAATTGCTTGAACCTGGGAGGCGGAGTTGCAGTGAGCCGAGATCACGCCACTACACTCTAGCCTGAGCGACAGAGCGAGACTCCGTCTCAAAAAAAAAAAAAAATTAACACATCTTTAGCTACTATTGTGAGAAGGCGACCATTTCTATCACCTTCGCTGGTTGGTTTGACAATCACAAGAACATACAAGTTTTATTCAAACAAGTATCCTCCCTGTACACCACAAAGCGTTGGGTGGTATGATAAGTCAATCTGGCTTGATCCACAAGAATTCTGGGTTGCGGTTTTCTCGGCAATTCATTCTTCAATACAGTTTTCAGCACAAAATTAAAGTCCTTTAAGTTAGTTTCTGACAGGAAAGGCAGTTAACTTTCTGCCATTGAGCAGACATGGCCTAAATAGAAGTGTTCTCCTTTCATTCTTGATTTCCAAAGAAAATTTTAGGAGATAACAATAGAGACCAAGACTCTTCATATCACTGGGCTAAAGGTGTACCTATCTATTATTATGTTGTTTCAATCAGAAAAATACTCTTTCAAATGTATACTGGTAAGGCATGGTACTCAAATAAGCTAAAAGTTCATTGTAGTACATTAAAAAAAAAAGAAAAAAAGGTGTAATAAGAGAGGTTTTTTGTTTGTTTTGAGACAGAGTCTTACTCTGTCACCCAGGCTGGAGTGCAGTGGCACGATCTCAGCTCACTGCAACCTCCCCCTCCCAGGTTCAAGCGATTCTCCTGCCTCAGCCTCCCAAGAAGAGTTCTTGATTATGATCCCAGCTATGCCTCCAAATGTCAGCTACTGAAGAACTGTTGAGCACCCTCCACACTCCAGGCCCTCTGAGGCACAGAAGATAATAAAATACCTATCCTTAGGTCACTTCATTGCTCCTTACTTCAGCATCCCCAGTTTAAAATAAAAGTCATGCTTCTTGCTGAATTGAAGTTAAGCTCTTCTTGCTGAATTGAAGTTAAGCTCTCTGTGGTAATCATTCTTGTTTCTTCTGGGACATACTCCATCAAACATCCCTTCTCTTCTATCTTCGGTGTATTTTCACTTCAAGTCTCTTTATCAGTAAAAAGTTCAGGGTTTAGTATCTTTTTAAAAAAGGAAGAGAAGGAAGAAAGGAAGGAAGAAAGGAAAGGAAGAGGGAAAATAAGCAGGAGTAAAACTTTCCTGGACTTTCCTAGTCCTTCAAGCTAAAGACCTGCCTCTTTCCTTTCTTTCCAAATATCATGAAAGAGCTGAAGGAAAAATTTGATGGATTTGAGAATGCTACGAAAAATGCAAATTTTCTGCATGCCAAAACATTCTGCACACCCAGTTATAAGGCAAACAGAAAACTGGGAAAAAAATATTTACATGAAATATGTCATAGGGTCTATGAACTTCATACATACGAAATTCATTCAAATGCATATAAAAACACTAACATCCTAAGAGAAAAATAAAGTTAAGGAACAGGAAATTTATAGAAAAACAAATGACTGATAAATATGTAAATAATTTGTCACTATGATATTAATCAAAGAAATTCAAATAAAACCATAAGGTACTTAAAATTTTAGTTCAGCAATTTTTTGAAATGACAATGATAATTGTTGGCTGAAAAAGAATCCTCATACAATTGCTAGTAGCACCATCAATTTATACCTGTTTCTTCGAAAAGAGCTCAGTAATACAATCAATCATCAAAATTCGCAGATTCCATATTTGCTAATTCACTTACTCACAAAAATGTTACCCCAAAATCAGTACTTCTGGTGCTTTTGCAGTCATTTGTGAACATGCACAGAGTGGCAAAAAATGTGGGCCATTTGATGTGCACATTCCCAGCCAGGGTCAAACAAGGCGAGGCTCTGGCTTTTTATGTCAGCTTTTAGACTATAAATACATGTCCTGTTCATGGTCTAATTCATGTTTTACTCATCAGTAGAAGAGTTAAATAATGCCATCTTTATATCAGTCATCACGTTTCAAATAGAAAGTCAATTATTTCCAGTAATATCTGGAAGTTATTTTTGTTGAGGTGTTGAAGGTGAAACAATATCGTGCATGTTATTGTTAAGTTCTATTAAAAACTTCAACACTGAAGATACTGAAGATAAAGTAATTTGATATAGAAGTAATACAGAGACTTATTTTGGTGGAGCACACAGTTGTTGTAAAAGCAATGTTTTTACTAAATTAAGAAGCCGGTGGAACAAAAGTGTATTTGGAACTGGTTGTGGTCCAAACACAATTCAAACAAGCTGTGATATTTTCCCAATTGAAATAGAGACTGTCTTTGTCAACGTGTATCACTATTTTTATATACAATTTTAGAGTAACTGAATCAAAAAGCTTTGTGATAAAGCTGATGTCAAAAACAAAATAGGTTGGTGGTACACACATTTCCTCCAGCTTTTAGAATTACTTCATAAATCATCTTAAGCATCCTACAGTGGAATAGTTTCGTGAATGTATCTTCTAAACTTTCGTTTTGTGAATGTATCTTCTAAACTTTCGTTTTGTGGGTTTTTTTTTTTTTTTTTTTTTTTTTTGAGACAGAGTCTCGCTCTGTTGCCCAGACTGGAGTACAGTGGTGCAATCTCGGCTCACTGCAACTTCTGCCTCCTGGGTTCAAGCAATTCTTGTGTCTCAGCCTCCCAAGTAGCTGACTACAGGTGCACACCACCTTGCCCAAGTAATTTTTTGTATTTTAGTAGAGATGGGGTTTCACCATGTTGCCCAGGCTGGTCTCGAACTCCTGAACTCAGGCAATCCACCCGCCTCGGCCTTCCAAAGTGCTAGGATTACAGACGTGAGCCACTGTGCCCAGCAGTAATTTGTTTAATATTTAGTGTATCAGACCAAATAATGGCTGTCAAAGATATATAAGTCGTAACTCCTAAAAATTGTGAACGTTACTTTATATGGCCAAAAAGGGCTTCACAGATGTGATTAAGGATCTTGAGACTGGGCAATTGTCCTATATTATCCTAGTGGACCCTAAATGCCATCACATGTGTCCTTGTTCTTATAAGGGAGACAGAGGAAAATCTGACACAAGCAGAAGAGGAGGAGGCAATGTGACCATGAGATCAGAGACTGGAGTGATATACCCATGGGTGAAGGACTGCCGCAAGCACCAGCCCTGTGCAACTGATTTCAGCCTTTTGGCCTCCGGGACTGTGAGATAATAAATTTCTGTTGTTTTAAGCCATCAAATTTGTGGTGATGTGTATGGTAGCCACAGGAAACTAATACAGTTGGAAATCTTTAATCTAGGTATTTAACAAGTGTAGCACCAAAATTTCAGGGTTTTTTGTCTCTTAAATTTCAATTGCAATGATTGAGAAAAAGCTTGCCAACAGGAAGACATTGAAATCTGTCTCAACAAAAACAAGAACCGAACAAAGTAAATGGTGAGAGGTCAAATCATGCATGAGATTTAACTTGAAAAATCTCCACATTTGAGAAAAATTATTTGATGAAATTCTGACTTACAATGTTGTGCAAATTTGTATTCTCTATTGGAATAGAATCACTTGAGAAGCCTTACAATTTTGCAGCATTTCAATATGGCAAATTAACCGTAAATAGGAACACTTTATTTAACAAGTTCTGGGTTTTTTTTTTTTTTTTTTTTTTAGTCATCAAATTAAGTTAGTCTGAGTGGAAGCAAAAAGAAAATATTAAGTTATTAATACATTTCAGTACAAAAAATGGTATTGAAAGTATCTTTCATTTAGTAGAATTTTCTCTGAGGTTTTCCGGTACATCAGCAACTGTAGAGAGACTAATTGCCCAATTAAAAATATTGTAGTCTACAGAGGAGTTCACTGAAAATATCAACATTTTACATTTATTAACCATAAAGGCAACTTAAAGAAGATTGTAGGCAGTTTTATGGAAGAAGTGAAAATATTAAGACCCTACTGGAGAGAAAACTGGTGTTTTTTGTTGTTAGAGACAAGGTCTCCCTCTGTCACCCAGGTTGGAGTGCAGTGACATGATCATAGCTCACTGCAGCCTCCAACTCCTGGGCTCAAGCAACCCTCCCACCTCAACCTGGAGATAATTATTTTTGAAATTAGCTTTTGAGTAGCACTATTTAGAGCACCACTAATGTGATAAAACCAATTTTTTGGTCAGTAAGTTTCAAAAATTATACAACTTGAATTATTTTATTCTTTTTTATTCTTCAAAGGCTTCAAGGTTGGATGATAAATTATATCGTTAAGTAATATAATTCTTGAAGAATTATATAGTCTCTTCTTGAAGAAAAAAAAAATGGCCTAATCCCATTTTACCTGTTTCACCCTCTTAAAATCAATTTAGCATTTAGCAATTTTGCCCACTGTCTCCAGGGAATTAGAAAGCTAACTGGGGCAGGCATTGTGCTGGGTACTTTAGATATACATAGGAACTTAGGAATATGAGTATGAAATATGTACCCATAGCTCTGTTGTGAGGACAAGGAAACAGGTTTATAGGCCTAAAGTGGTGCCCCAAATCATAACTAGTAGGCAGCAGAGGTGGAATTTAAGTCCACTGGGTCTACCAGCTTTTGTTTTTATTTTCTGAGACAGTCTCACTCATTCTGTTGCCTGGGTTGCGGTGCAGTGTTATGATCATGCCTCTCTACAGCCTTGACCTCCCAGGCTCAGGCAATCCTCCTGCCTCAGCTTCCCAAGTGGCTGGGACCACAGGCATGAGCCACCATGCCCGGCTAATTTTTAAAATAATTTGTAGAGATGGGGTCTCTACAAATGGAGATGTTGCCCAGGCTGGTCTTGAACTCCTAGGCTCAAGCGATTCTCCCACCTCAGCCTCCCAAAGTGCTGGGATTAGCCAATCAACCAGCTTTTTCCCTGTCTTCCCTTAGCATCTAGAATATGAGCCACTCCAATTTAACCTCCATGGCCACGTCTTTCTCCTTCAGTGGTTATCTCTCATCTCCCTTCTGCCTCTTCCTTGGCCATTCTTTTCACCTTCAAATCTCACCTGTGTCTAAAAGTCTTGATATAATGAATCGCCCTGGGTTACTGATGAAAACATGCAGCTCTCATCAAGAACTCGGCTTTCTAAAGTCACTTCCTCACCTGATTAAGGCCCAATTAAGCATGCATGACCCCAAGTTCTTAAGAGAAGGCTCATCTATGACAGAGCAATGTTTGCTATAGGAGCCATATCTCATTCTCTTCTATCTCTTAACCGTAAGGACCCAGGGCTTCTCATGCTCTGGTTCCGTAAGCTTACATTTGATGCTGAAACAACAGCGGGGATGGAACGAGCTGTTGTGGTACCTGTCTGAGCACCCTGGCCTGTGGCTGGGAGCCTAATGTTAGTCTTTTGGGGAAAGCCCTGAAAAGCAAGGTGAAATGTCAGCAGGTATCTCCAGGATGATCAGAAGATACCAATACAAGGGTCTCTCACCTACCTGGCTTGACACAGATGACCTCAGCGCTCTGCTTCTTAACATCATAAATGGCAGACGATAATTAGCAGTTTCTTTCTCCTGACCCAGATTGCATGTGGAAGCTCTACATCAATTGCTCAAAAATTAATTGCTGAGTGGCCAATTCAATAAATTTACTCCAAAAAGAAAAATAATTCACTTTACCAGTTTTAATCTCGTCTTTATAATACCACCCTTTTTCTATTATTACATTTGTCTCTCCCAGATTTCTTTCTGCTGCAAAGACCAAAAGGACACTGAGGAGGAAGAAGAGAAAAGTAAAACATAGCCATGCACAAAAGCATAATCTTGAGAATGAAATATTCTCAAAAAATTTTGTGTGTATGTATATATGTATGTATGTTTTTTCCTTCTTTTTTTTTTTGTTACCAAACTGAACCATTAAAAGAAAGAGTAAATTTGACTGGTGGCTTTCTATGAATTCCCTGCTACTTGTGTGTTGAGTTGGGTGTAGTCCCAGACCAAGCAGTTCATTCATAAATCCCAGGACTTTCCCCCTTTGAAATCTGTCTGCTCAAGAAAGCCCCTGGTCCTTCAGGTTTGCTTACAGGGATGCATGAATTATCTTTGTCTCCATCTCTAGCATGACATTTTTGCAAGGCGTTGACCCCCATGGAGTTGATCTGGCACAAACCTGCTGGGAGTAAGTCATTCTAAGACATGAGCACCATGATCAGCTAATACTTCACTTTCTTGTTCTTGCTCATTTCTAAGACACCTTAGAATTTCAATGAATAAAGTCACAGCAACTCCAGGACACTCCCCCTGTCCCTACTCTCCCTACAAGGAGTGAAGCCTAACTGAATGGCGAGCATTTACAGAGACATACTTTTTGGTTCTAAGTTTCTCAATCTTGGCATTATTGACATCTTGAGCCAGAAAAGTCTTTGTTGTGGGCGGAGGGGCTCTCCTGTGCATTAACATTTAGCGGCATCTCTGGCTTCTGCCCAATTAGAGCCAGTAGCACCCCCCTCCTCTGTGATGACAACCAAACATGTCTCCAGACATTGCCAAATGTCCCCTGGGAGACAAAATTGCCCCTAGCGAAAAAACATGGAAGTTGACTTTCGGAACAACCCTCCAACAGGGAATTCTACAAGCCTTATTTAGATTGCATCATAAAGCGGTTTCACTTCACTAACATCACACAAAGATGACTGCCAACTCAAAGGATTCCATGATGCCCTATAATATGCTGGGATACATCAGACAGCTGTGCAAAGACTGTCTGAGGCTAGGAACTTGATCTGCCATAATCTTTATTACATAAGTCACTGTGTCTCTCGTGACCCTCAAATGACAGCCTATTTAGACTGAGAATGCCTGCTAAGGCAAAACATTCAGCATCATAGTGGATAAACTGTTTCACAACTACAGATCAGTTGCCAGTTTGGTTGTCGGGGTCCAGGCATAGCTATGCAGTCTAATTGATTTTATTTTCCAATAAAAATCTTTTTCTAAAAAAAACCAAACAGAATGTGCCAACGGAAAGCATGCTTTGTTTTAAAGCAAGCTACACAAGCATCATCGCATCGCCCTCTGAAAAACACTGGCAGAAACAGTATTGCATGAGCTAAAAAGTAGATCCTATAGGTTCTCTATAGTTCAGTTTTTAAAGTTTGAACAGCCTTTTAATAGTGACCATTCACGCTTAAGAAATTAGAAAAATATAAATTTCATCTTTCATCACAATGTTTCTAGAACTTTTTAAATTACGCTTTTAAATTCTATATAAAGCAACTACTTCAAACTACGACAGAGGAGTTGGTGTTAATGTGACTGATTTCCCAAGAATATTAGGGGGTAAATATCCCATTTTTTAAAATGTACCTGATAGAGTAATACTTACAGATGAGATGTTTTAGTTAATGAGAGTTCCTCTTATGATCCTGTTATTTATTACACGAGGTAGAAGAAAAAATAGAACAAATGCCTGTTCCGACTCCCTGCATAGTAGAGGTTGGCTCTATTTTAAATACATTCCTTAGCTTTGGATTTGGGTCACCCTATTCTGCATCTCCCTATAACTGCTAATTCAAAATCCCCTAAGGTTGTTTCAAATGAATTTCTGCTGAAGAATCTCAGCACTTGAGATGATGAACAAGACTCACTTTCAGGACATCTTTCCTTTCCTTCCCATCTTCCTGCCTGCTCCCTTTATCTTTCTAACCCTTGTCCTGTAATTCTTAACCCAGTCTTTTTGTTGTTTTTTTTCTTTTGAGACAGGGTCTCACTCTGTCACCTAGGCTGGAGTGTAGGGGTGCAATCTTGGCTCACTGCAGCCTCAACTTCCTGGGCTCAAGGAATCCTACCACCTTAGCTTCCTGAGTAGCTGGGATTACAGGCACACACTACCAAGCCTGCCTAATTTTTGTTTTATTTTTTGTAGAGATAGGGATCTCATTATGCTGCCCAGGCTGGTCTCAAACTCCTAGGCTCAAATGATCTTTCTGCCTCAGTTTCCCAAAGCGCAGTCTCCTAAAGTCGGTGTCCCTGACCCACCATGCCTGGCCTTGATCTGGTCCCTCTGTGGTAACAGAAACAAGGTTGGAGGGATAGGTGTGTGTTTAACACACAGGATATGTATGTCCCAATTTTCTTAACCTATTCTATCACACACACACACGTGCGTGCACACACACACACACATATACACATCCCCACTCAAAAGGGCTTGGTCACTGTGTCTCCAAATCAAAGGAAAATAAAAGATGGCTAAGGACATAGTTTGGGAATGAGATAATAAGATATAATCGGGCAATTTTTTAAACCACCAATAACCTCCAAAATTAAAACCCTTTAGAAATTGGTAACTTATGAAGTCACAAAGACAACATGCACAAATATCATAGATTCAACTATAATACAAGTCAATTAACATAGGAGAAAATTTAAGTCTGTTTTCCTTTTTATTTTATAAATGTATTTTATTTTATACTTGTTTAATCCATCTTAGACCTAGCACATCCTAGGGTTTTATATACTGATCAAATTGCTCTGCTAGAGATGCTTAAGTTCAATAGCAGTTTCCTTTCAAACTTATCCGTTTTTAAGAAATGGGAGTCTGTTTTTTTAAATTTTATACATGTTTATTTTCATTATAAATTTATGTAAATCACTTTGGACCCAGCATGTCCTTAGGTTTTACCCATTCGTCAAACTGCTCTGCTGTGAGATAGCCAAGTTCGATAGCAGTTTCCTTTAAGGTTGATCCATTTTTGTGTGCTGTCTTAGCAATCTTTGCTGCCTTGTCATACCCTGAAGAAAAAATAAAAAGACGACATATGGGTTAGCAGTGATATTTGGTTTCCTAAAGCAAAAGGTGACATAATTGTTTACTTGATATTGATGCTATATGGGCCTCTTAAATGACATTTTTTGTTTTTAAATTAGTTAACAGTGATTATCTCAATAATCATTTTTTATGTAGAACATTTACTTTCCTTAAGAAATAAACACTTAAACATACCTCACTTTCTCCAACAGATTTGTTCCTAAGTTGAAATTTTCCAGTAACTTAGATATTTTGAAGGGGAAAAAAGTAGAAATTATAGCACCACGACATAAAAATATACATCTGGGTATATTTTTCAAACAACATGTTTAACTAGAAACAATTATCTTTCTAAAGAAACATTAACAAGCTAAATGCTCCAGTCCAGCAGAAAATAAAGCACTGCACGTCTGGCAACTGTGGTGAGTGGCTCTGAGAGGGGAGAAGTCCTCGCAGTGAGGCAGGCGCAGGCAGGGCCTGGGGAGGGGTGCCTCCAGAGCTGCTTCCAATGGCTCTTCTCTATGTGGCTCTCCACTGCAATGGCTTCTATACCCTGGCCTCCTCCCAGACATTACAGGGACACAAATAGGGAGTCTGGGCAGAAATACAGACTGCACAAAAGATCACAGGCATACTGTTTACTTCAGAGTTATTTGCTTTTCAAATTAATAAAAGTGGGGGCAGGGCAGTTCTGCAAGCTGTCTTAACATATATATATATATATATATATATATATATATATATATATATATATATGTCAAGAAGAAAAAGCAGGAATGAAAATGAAACCAATGCGGGAGAAAAAAAACAAGATCAGAGAAATATGACCAAAAGGAAGAAGCTTGCTGAGGCAGTATACATCATCAATAAGATGGCATGTGTCAATATGCAATTATTAATCAGCTATAAAAGAAAGCATGGGCATAGTTACTTTTATTACTTAACTGAATTTGTGAATGCTAAATATGTTGAAAAGGGCATTTATTGATCTGAAAGGGCATTTATTGATGCCATTTACTGAAAAGGGCATCTTTCTTAAAGCAGAAATGCTTTGAGAAAGAATTTGCATGTTAAACTCTTGAGATCAATATATATCCAGTACTTTTATTTTAATAATGGCTTTAAAGTCTAAGCATTTCAGCTGTCAAGTCCAACAAGACACTATTGGCAACCAGCCTGGTACATAATGAGAATATAGGGAACCCATGATTCAGAGGGTTGTAAGGCTCACACCAAGTCAACTAGTGAGGTGGTGTTGACCCATCTCATTCTCATATGGCCTCTAACAATTCTTTTTATGTCACAATAAGTTGATTCCAATAAAGATTTGCCAATCATTCAACTTTAGGAGACACCTCTAATTTAAAGTTTTGGTAACACATTCTGAAGTAAAGATCTGATGAAAACTGCTCACACGAGCCTCTGGGTTCCCCTTTGTGTTTTTCCAGATGTAGTTGATGTACCATAATTTTAAATGGATCAAACATTATTACCAATCTCAATGCCACACCAAAAAACTGATATCATACTGGGCTCAGAGCTACCTAAAAGAGTCAAATGAGCTCTAATTTTAAAAAACTGTAATTATAGCTTGATGTGAAACCAGGAATATAAAATTTGCCTTGAAAGTTCAAGATTATAGAAGAAGCAGTAGCCATATTATGCCAAATAAGTGAATCATAACTTGTTCTATAACAGAAAGGCAGAAAATATATTAACCTCTGCTTAGCAGAAAGGAAGAATGGGTAAAAGGCTTTTAACACATCATAATATAATGCAACATAATGCCTCAAAATCTACAAAAGTGTAAACAGTTTATTTAATGGAGATCTCTATGGTCAGTCTACTACCCAAATCTGTATGTTTGATTCTACATAATGAAATATTTACAGTTCCAAAAAAGACTTATAATACAATAGCATGGTTTTAGACAAAATATTTGCATTTTCCTTCCTCCCTTTCACTATAAGCAATGAATACATAAACTTTTTCTTTTAATTGTAACTTTCCATTTCTGAATTGAATAAAACAACAAAATTAAAGCATTGTAGAGATCTAGGGAAGGTAGAAAAATGAGTTCATTCAATGTTGCTAATCAGCAGTGCCACCTAGTGACATTACCCACTGAAGGTCTTACAAATAACCTTCCCCAATGGTCTGCATAGAATATTTGGCGTCTGAATTCCATTAAAATCAAAATAAGTTTGAACTACTACTTCTCGATACATTTCAAATAAAATGAGGCATAATAGATCTAGTTTTGAAAGAACTATGACACCATACAAGTTATATAGTACCTTTCCACACAATTTCAAATATTTTGAGATTTTACTAAAACCATATTCAAAAGAAATTTGCTGTTCTCAAACACTGATCCACTTGTCTCTTAAAAATGGTTTAGCTTTTTAATTTTGCATTCAAAATGATATTATTATTCCTTAAACACTTACCTATATGAGGATTGAGAGCTGTCACCAACATTAGAGACTCATTCATCAGCTTGTTGATCCTTTCTGTATTGGCCTGGATTCCCACCACGCAGTTTTCTGTAAAGGAAACTGAAGCATCCCCCAGCAGCCTGGCTGAGTGTAACACATTTTTAATCTTTGAGTGAGTGAGAGAGAGAGAGAGAGAGAGAGAGAGAGAGAGAGAGACATTACTAAGGCAACATGTTTTTTGTCCAATAACATATTATTTTCTGGTTGACAGTAAATATACAATTCAATAAACATATAGATCTTCTACAAATTTTAAGGCACTATAACCAAGGAAACAAATGTGAAAGAAAGCATGAACATTTGAAGGCACAGAAATCTAAAAAAGGTGAAAAAGACATAAATACAAATGACTAAAACACAAAATAGCCCATAGCAAGTATTTAAAACAGAGGTCTGAAGTGTTAGAGACCATAGAGAAAGAGAAATTAACTCCAGTTGTCGGAACTGGTGAAATCCTATTTTATGGAGAGGACTTGGCCAGAGAAGGAAAAAGAATCTTCCACGCAGAAGGAAGAGGAGCAAAGATGCAGAGGTTCGAAAGTTCAGTATGAGTGTGAGGCAATTAGTAAAGTCAGGGCAAAATCTAATGATCACCAAATTTCTAGGTTTTCTATGCTTTAACGAATACTCCAGTCACTGTAAAATAACTTTTCATATAATATTAAAAAACAGTATAAAATCAATTAGTTTGTTTTGGCTTTGTTGGCAACATTTCCAATATTTATTAAGATATATCCAAATCCTAATATCCTCTGGTCTAAAACTCCGGTCTGAAAACTAGACTTCCAACAATGGACTCTAAGACATATAATCTAAGTTTTAATTTGCTACTAATGACCTTGTAATAAGGCAAATATTGATTATCTTTATTTTACATTAAAAATAAAATTTTAAAAAGATTAACAAGGCATTTATTGTTATGCACCTATAAATGCTGGGTATCTCGTGTTAACTGTTTGGAATCTGACCTGAGAGCAAAATTTTAACAGTCTGAGTTCTGCTCTGGCCTGTGTTTTTATTTACCACTAGGATATACATTCCATGAGAGCAAGAAATCTGTCTTTTCATTGCTCTATCTCTATTATGCATCCAGTACAGTGCCTGATAGAAAATGGTACTCAATAAATATTTAGTGAATATATTAAATATACTCCATATTTGTCATTTGCATATTCTTATAAAATTAAAATTAGAATTTAGAAGAGATTCCAAGAGAAAGTAAGCCCCTACTCTACTTTAGCTATAACACTTTGTCCAAATGAAGGACTCTAAATTATGGCAACAGCTCCACTATCTGCAGCTGAGGAAACTGATGAGAAATGGCGCGATGCATCTATCGATCTTCGTAAAGACGAAAGAAAAAGAACGGTTTGGGTGGACACAATGTTTTCAAGTATGTGGAAAGGTAAAGCCAGACAATGAAACGAAGTCTGACAGGGGGCAGAAGAAGAACTGGTGAAAAAATGTTCAAGAAAGCAGGGATGAAGAATGTTTCAAGGAGGGACAGTCAACATCAACTATTAGTAAGGGAAGAACTAACTGCGCAATGCCAGCTGGACTGAGGTAGTCACCAATGAATGGGAGAATAATTCAAGCGTGGAGGGGGCCATGCTGGGCTGTGGTGACTACAGCATAAATGAAAGTGAGTATGTGCTATCCTTCCAAGAAGACTGAATTTGAAGAAGAAAGCAGCAGCATGAGAAGGAGACAGGCTTGTAGGGAGGCATTTTATTTTTCTTAAACGGGCTATTAAAAAAAACATCAAATTGCTTAGGTTAAAAGTCAACTAATTTCTATTATCTAGGATTATTCTGGTAACTTAATAAATGCTTGACTTCCAACTGCTACTTATGTCACCCAACTACCCAATGTGGAATCACTAGAAGTCTTTATGAAATACAAAACCAAGATAATAAGCCTTTGGTCAAAAAACATTAAAAATCAGATTTAAAGCTTACCATCATTGGCTTGAAAACATTCAACTCAAAATGTCCATTGCTGCCTCCGACAGTGACAGCAACATGGTTCCCCATGACTTGGGCTGCAACCATGGTCATTGCTTCACACTGAGTAGGGTTCACCTTGCCTTCAAGAAAACCACCAATGACAGAGTAAAGACTAAATTTATGCAAATAATCAGGAGAATAAAGAAATCTAATTTCACTAAATAGAGTAAGATATACAATAAAGCAAGGCCCAACCATCAGTGTAATTTAATGAAACAAACCAACCAAGGAAGGTGGGATGGGTAGCCACAAAATGAATCATTCAAAGGCTAACGAGTAGCCACAACTACACATTAAATATAGTTCTCCACCTTCATGATTTTCATTCATTCTATACATATTTATGGAGCCAGGCACTCAATATACAACACTGAATAAGAAAGATGCAGGCCCTGCCCTCGCAGAACTTGGAGGCTAGGGAGAAAGAGCTGGCAATTATAAGGGGTAAATACAGAGTAGTGTATGCTGCTATCAGAACACTTATAAAAGCGACCCTTCACTAACACATGGGAGGCTTCCTAGGGGAAGGTGATGCTAAGCTAAAATTTTCCTATTTATCACGAGTCTCTGGAACCCCACTACCCTGCTCACACTCCTTGGACAAGCTCCAAGTTTGAATCAAACAACCCAGATTCCTCTGACCAGTACAAGTTAACACACTGGAAAGATTATTGGGTGGATTATTGCCTTTATCTGTGACTCCCCCAGTTCTCTTTCTTTTGGCAATCACCCTGGATTTGCAATCAACTAAACCTTTATGTCATTCTTCAACATGAAGTACTTTAAAACAAAATTTCATCTCTTCTTATTCTACAGATCCATAATTTCCATAAAAATCTAGAGTCAGGCCTTTCTCACTATTAAAAGTTACATTGTCAGTTTTAGCCCAAGCTACAGTGGCCTTTATGGATCTCAGTTCTGTCATCCATAGTATTGCTATCCCAACTTTGTTAACTGTTAATATGATTAGCATGTATTCTCTTCCTTCACCCTCAGTCACCAGTAAAGTGTTGAAGGGCAGAGCCCTTCAGCTTGTTACCAATATATTCTTCTAGACTGAAGTCACTTCATTAGTCACTTCTGAAATGTCACTGTTCACCCAGCTACATTCATCTGCCAGCACTGCCCACGCTTCTCCACTGGAATCAATGACTATCATGCGAATCTATCAAATGACTTGCTGAAATCCAGACATACACTGTTGTGTCACTTGCTATATCTAACAGGCATATAACGGAATGCAAAAAATGAAATAAGTGAAGTTTGGTATGACTTCTTTTTATTCAACCCGCGCTGATCACTTTAACAGCCTGCTCTACATTTTCTAATGTGGGATTCGAAATACTTGCTGCTAAGTCAGATTCTTTCTTCCTATCTTGTCAGGTGACGTGCCCAGCAGTCCTGACCAGAGGACCACAGACATGCTGGAACAGTGCGCCTTGCGCATCCAGCTGCGGGATAACTTTAAACAAAGAGAGACATGGTCCATAGCTAAGAATGCCTAGGACCTAGTCAAGTTTTAGCTCCAACATTTACTAGCTATGTGATTACCTGGCATGATACTGCTTCCTGGTTCATTTTCAGGCAAGATCAATTCTCCCAGACCTGACCGAGGACCAGAACCCAAAAATCGAATATCATTTGCTATCTTCATCAGACTGCAGGCAGTAGTGTTCATGGCTCCACTGAGCTCAACCAGAGCGTCATGAGCAGCCAGAGCTTCAAATTTATTCGGAGCAGTGACAAAAGGCAAGCCTAAAGAAAAGAAAAATATCCTAGATGGGTGAACAAGTTAAACTAAACATTTTTCTACCATTAGCAAGTGAAACAGAAAGTTCCAATATACGAAAAAATAAAAATTTTACTTCAGAAAAAAATGTTTACTTAAGACTCAAATTTTGTCTACATTTTTAAAAGAAGTCCTAAAGGAGTAGAAAGAATCTGGTATTACATTTTTTAAGTTTTTTCAGACAGGGTCTCACTCTGCTGCCCAGGCTGGAGTGCAGTGTGGCTCAATCACAGCTCACTGTAGCCTCAACCTCCATGGCTCAGGCAATCCTCCCACCTCAGCCTCCAGAGTAGCTAAGACTACAGGTGCACACCACCACGCCCAGCTAATTCTTTAATTTTTAGTAGAGATGGGGTTTCGCCATGTTGCCCAGGCTGGTCTCAAACTCCTAGGCTCTAGCGATCCACCCACCTTGGTCTCCTGAAGTGCTGGAATTACAGGAGTGTAATTCCACTGTGCTTAGCCAGGCACTACATTTTAAAAAGATGAAATAACAAGTATGATAAATGTACTGAAAGAAAAAACACAATCCTACTGCAAACACACGTATATGATGCCTGACTATGCTTGAGTAAAAAGTATATGGGAATTCATTCTGGTTTATACCACACTCCTTTCCTAATACCTTTTTTCTTTTTTTTTTTTTTGAGACAGAGTCTTGCTTTTTTAGCCAGGCTGGAGGGCAGTGGTACGATCTTGGCTCATTGCAACCTCCTCCTCCAGGGTTCCAGCAATTCTCCTGCCTCAGCCTCCCAAGTAGCTGGGGTTACAGGCGCCCGCCACCATGCCCGGCTAATTTTTTTAAATTTTTACTAGAGACAGGGTTTCGCCATGTTGACCAGGCTGGTCTCGAACTCCTGACCTCAAGTGATCTGCCCATCTTGGCCTCCCAAAGTGCTAGGATTACAGGTGTGAGCCCCCATGTCCGGCCCCTAATACAATTTTTTAAAGTTTCTTTGTCCACTTTACTGTGCTTCATCCTCTCCCCTAGCCAGGAGCCCACAAGATCCCCTATAAAAACAGTGTGCTAAAATGAGTTAGATGTTCTCAGTTAACCCCCATGTTAAAAATTTTATAAATCTACATTTGCCAAACCCTAAAAGTAGAGTTCTTTTCTATTAAAATATGGTTTAAAGACAAATCAGCTGGTAAGCTATCATGTGCAGTGTATAATTATCTCTACCCTAACCGTCTGGTAACATCTACATCTTAATGAGAGTTTTCTGAAGATGACAACTTGGCCCTAATAATAGTTATCATTATCTAAAGTATAATACTCTCTCTACTAAAGGAAAGACATGGTTCAAAAAGGTCAATAATTCAAAGAATTATCACAGCATGACATAATAGGAAAAAAAAGAAATTAAGTCTGTCTACAACATATTTACTATTCAAATAACTTACTCAACACTCAGTTTTTTCTGCCTATTTTGAAAACTGCTATTCAAAACTTTAAAGGGAAATTAATTGAAAACTAACTAGTAAACAAAGCTAACACTGGTAGATTTTAATGGCATGCTGTATAAACTCCTACATGGAACATTTTTTAAAAGGCAAATAATTAACATTATAACTTCAGAAATATACTTAAAACACATGTTTGATGGAAAAATATCATTTCTAACTTTAAATTCACAAGAATTCAAGACAGGAACACTCAGAAAATGTACAGACCACGTATAATGAGAAATGAAAATGAGAAATAATTCACGTGATCACTAACCTGTAAGTGCAGCCACTTTTGCAGCAACCTTTTCTGCAAAGCCAATTCTAGTATTTAAACCTGTACCAACAGCAGTGCCTCCAGCTGCGAGCTCATAGATTCTTGGCATGGCAGCTTTTATTCTTGTCATTGCATATTTTACTTGTTGAACATAACCACTAAATTCCTGAAAAGAAAAGAAAATTAAGGTAAGAATAAGTAATTCCTAATAGCTTACAAGTTACTCTAACTGCATTAAATAGAAATTTTTAAAAATACCTTTCAGAATACTAAATTACAAGCTAATCAAGTTTTATTTATACTACTTCAAATCTTATGATGAGCAAAGTATAGGGAAGGATGAGGGTTTATAGAACCATAAGGTACGACAATGCCACTGATAACATGCAGCCTATTTATTATAATCTAGTCTTTTAATAGGAAGCAAAGAAAAACAGCACAGGAAATACACTTTAAAAAGAACAACTTTACTACACTAAATTATTGGTTTACTTGCAGTCTACTAAAGAAACTGAAGTGATTTCTTATTTTTTGGGATGCCTCAGACAACTTTGGTGTAAGAAAAAATAGTAACTCATCTCCCCCAAAAAAATGCAAACATAGAAATATTCTCCATACAATTTCAGTGTATAAACCTACCAGGAAATATGAAGACATTCTACAGAGACTTGGGAAGCTAATGACTCACTGAATAGCACAGGAAGGTAACAGTTTGCATTGAAGGACCTTCCAAAAAGAATAGGAGGTAACGGTAGAGTCAGATCATAGCATCAATGTGCCAATGTCAACACTGGTTCCAAATTTTGACATGCCTTAATTAAAGCAACCACAGAATTTATGTTTTGAACACAGAAAGGGCTCTATTAATAGTCATGCAGAAACAAAAGGCATACACTGGGAGTTAACTGGACAAACCAAGATACATGGTTACACTAAATCTATCCTTTTTTCCTGCCTGAAAACACTAAAAAACCATAAGTGACAGGATGCCATACTGTTCTAAAGAAAACATTTCAAAAGATATAACTCATTATAGGTAGACCTGATGCATCTGATATAACATCACTCATATACAGTCACGCACCACATAATGATGTTTCAGCCAACGAAAGATCACATAAACAGTGGGACCCTAAGATTATAAAACCGTATTTTTACTGTACCTTTTCTACATTTAGATATGTTTAGATACACAAATACTTACCATTGTGTTACGATTGCCTATTGTATCCAATGCAGTAACATGCTGCACAGATTTGTAGCCTAGGAGGAAAAGGCTATGCCATATAGCCTAGGTGTATAGAAGGCTATACCATCTAGGTTTGTGTGAGTATACTCTGTGATGTTCACATAACTATGAAATTGCCTAAGGATGCATTTTTCAGAACATACCCCCATTGCTAAGCAACACATGACTGTATGTATACACACACACACAAACACACTAGATAGATTCACTTATAAAATACACTTTGACAGGGAACAATGCACGAACTCAAAAGACAATCCCAATAAAAGCAAGTATAAATGCTTCTGATAAAGTCAAACAGAAAAATGTAATTTTCTGTCTTAACAGGAAGAATGATGATTTTACACAGGAGGCTGAGTCATGGCCCAAATGGTATTTAGTATTGTAGTTTTCAACACCAAAAAAAGGTTAAAATTAGAAACTTGAGAAATATTCAAAAGTTTCAAAACATACATACTGTTCCTCCTTAGAAATTATGCATGGTCCTAAGTACTAATGATGCAAAGAGAAATGAGACACAGCCTTAAGAAGCAACTCAATCCAGTGAGTTCAATTTAGTCCCATCATTTGTTTTTCAATTACTCATTTCAAGTTTTCCTCATTCCTTCCATAAGGAAATTAAGCTACCCCAATTGGAGTGTGAGTTTACTAAGACAAAAGTCATTCCCTGTATTTCCTTACATTTCCTTCACAATGTATACTATTAGATATTCCTTAAGGCATTGAAAAAGAAACATGAAAATACTTTCTAATATCTTGGAGAAGAGAGTAGTATCTCCTTCACATGCGGCCAGATCCATCTTAAAAAGATCTACCTTATTTAATCACTTTGAGATTAAATTTTAAATAACCTACTAATTTAGGTAAGAAAGACAAAAGAAAAACCATGATGATACTGATGGAGATGACAGCGATGACGGTGGTGATGATGGTAGCTAACATGAATGGGTACTTACTGTGTGCCAGGCATGCTTCTAAGCACTCTACATAAATCAACTTACTAGAGCTTCACAACTATCCTATGAAAGGGAAATTATTTTCCTCATTTTGTAGCTCAGAAAACTGAGGCACAGAAAGGCTAAATGACTTTCCTATGGTCCCATAGCTTGTACACAGCAAAGCTAAGATTTGAACCCGAGCAGTCTGACTGAATCTGACTTATAGCCAGTATACTCTGCTTTTCTTCTAAGTGGATGTCAATGAAAATTACTGATTGGTTGAACAGAACAACCTCTGTCACTGAAGTTTCCGGTTACAAATTTGGCCTTTTAAGCTAGTCAGATTTCAAGGATGACACATTGGCCATTTGTACCAAGCTCTAAATTGAATCAAATTAGTCAAACTCCTATACCTGCCCAAGAGTAAGTGGAACAGCATCCTGAGTATGAGTACGTCCAATCTTGATGATCTGTGCAAACTCTTTGGATTTTGCATCAAGAGCATCATGTAACTTCTGTAGTCCTGGTAACAGTACTTCATGAACTTCTATTGCAGCAGCAATGTGCATTGCTGTGGGAAAAGTATCATTTGAGCTCTGTTGGAAATTTTTCAAAAGAAATATAAAATGTTAAATCAGAGGCAACAAAAACAAACTTCTGAATTAAACTTCTCAATTAAAAAACTCTCCAACTAACTACTCAAAACCCAGCTCAGTTACATGTATGTGTGGCATGTCATAGGTGAGTTATTATAGAATCAAATAAGCAGCATCCTGGTTTCTAACACATACTCAGAACTGTATTATACACATTAAGTATACTGAATGTATTATGTATTATATATGTATTACGTATTATATTATATTATGTATTATATAATATATTATGTATTATATTATGTATTACGTATTATATCTGCCTGCTAATAAATGACAGCAAAATACAGAGAAGTATAGTTAACAACTGCACTTGAAGACAGCAGTAGTATCTTCAATGTAGTTGAATATCTTATAATTATATCAAATTACATCAATTATTGAATTATATATTCTTATAAAATCTTATAATTGAATATCTTACAATTATACAGTGCATACAGTCTTTCATAAACAGCTCTTTATTAAGTTTAGAAAAATTCTGTGAGGTAGATTACCACTTTAAAAATAGGAAAGCCAAGCCCTCAAAGAGACTGTATAAATGCCAAAATATTTAGCAACTGGCAAACCTGAGACCTAGCCAGGTAGTATATACTCAGTGCTCTTTCCTCAACTGTTGACCCTGTACTTTTAAAACATAATATCAAGCTGGGTGCAGTGGCTCATGCCTATAACCTCAGCACTTTCAGAGGCTGAGGCAGGAGGATCAATTGAGGCCAGGAGTTTAAGACCAGCCTGGGCAACACAGAGCAATACCCTGTCTCTGAAAACATTTTTAAAGTTAGCCAGGCATGGCGGTGCATGCCTATGGTCCCACTTGCTCAGGAAGCTAAGGCATGAGGATCCCTGGAGCTCAGCATTTCCAGGCTGCAGTGAGCTATGCTCACTCTACTGCACTCCAGCCTGGGTGACAGAGTGAAGCACAATCTCTAAACACACACACACACACACACACACACACACACACACACACACACACGCATGCACACACACAGATATATATAAAAGTATACTGTCATTTAAAAAGATACATTATTTATATATTTTGACGTTTACTATGCAAAATATAAAGTACTTACGAAAGAAGTAGGATGAATGGTATAATAAACACTTATGTACCTGTCACCTGAATTCAAATAGTTTACATAATTATCAACATGTAGCCAATCACGTTTCATCTATAACTCTACCTTTCTGAGGCAGACTTCAGACTTCAGTATATATAGAACATAAATTCATAAAGGCAAGTATTAGATTGGGAAAATCCCTTATACAATGAACGTGTATTAAAAACACTTCTTCCTTACTACTTAAAAATATATTAAATTATACTTAGCACCCAGATCTCAGTTTCTAAATATCATTTTCCAATAAGAATTCTCCAACAGTTCCTTGAAAAATGGCTGTTTCTAGGGCTGGGGCAGAAACAATACAAGACAATGAGCTTGGAGCATCTTAAAGTACCAGGAAGTCGGAACACACTTCAGAAAAGTAAAAGGATGGTGGCATGCCTAAAAGGACACAAGAGCCAAATGAATTGGGTTCCCAGAGCTGAAAGAATTTAAGCAACAATATAAACAAAAGTATGGGATCATAACCTGAAGAATAAAATAAATAACCATCAGTCCATACTGATATACCCAAATAACTGAATAAATAAATAAATGGGACAGAGAGAACAAATCTTCCTTGCAGAAAAATTCAACTAACAAGTGTAGAATGAATAAAGAAAACTGAAAATCACTATTAAAACACCATGGAAGTAATTGCTGTAGATAAGATTCCCTGATGAATGCTAAAAATAGTAGGAAAAAGTTTAAGGAAAAAGAAGATGTTTGCCTAGCCTCAAGGTAGCGCGCTATTAATTACTACAGTGATTTTAATGTAAGCCCAAAAACTTTTTGATACTCCTCCCTCTAGAAACTGAAATACAGTGCCTGGAATGCAGGCAGGGTTTAGTGACCTATTTCTAATGAACAGGGTATAGAAGAGGAAAAATTATAATTTTACCATGGAGAAACCTGGCAAGTACCAGCTTAACCAAGTGATTAAGGTTAACATCACCAGTAAAAGTCATGTTGCTATCATGAACCCCTGATATGATGCAATGAGAAGGGCCCTTTATTTCTGTGATAGTTTTCTCAAAAATTCAAAAGTCTCAATCTAATGAGAAAACGTCAGACACACCAGAATTGAGGGACATTCTACAAAATACCTGACCACTGCTTTCAAAGTGTCAAGGTCACTGCTATGTGAAATCCTAACCCCTAGGGTAATAGTATTAGGAGATGCGGCCTTTGCAAGGTGATTAGTTCATAGGGCAAAGCTCTCATGAACGGAATTAGTGTCCTTACGAAGAGACCCCAGAGAGCTCCCTTGTCCCTTCTACCATGTGAGGACACAGAAAAGATGGCCATCTACAAACCAAAAAGTGGGCCCCCACCAAGCCAATGAATTGGCCAGTGGCCTGACCTCGGACTTCTAGCTGCCAGAACTGTGACAAATTAACTTCTTCTATTGTTTATAAGCCAGTCAGTCTATTGTATTTTATTACTGCAGCCCCAAAGGACTGAGACAATCGCAAAAGACCAAGAAACTGTCACAGATTAGAAGAAACCAAGGGGACATGTGACTAAATGTAATGTATAGCATTGATTGGATCCTGAAAAAGAACATGAGTGGAAAAACTGAGGAAAGCCTCAGTTTTTTGTTTTTTTTTTAAAGTCTGTTGTTTAGCTAAGAGTACTGTATCTATGTTAATTTCTTAGTTTTGATAAATGTACCATGGTTACATAAGATGTTAACAATAAGGGAAGCTGAGTGAAGGGATATAGAAACTATTTGAACTATCTTTGCAATTCTCTTATAAATCTAAAATTATTTCAAAATAGAGTTTTAAACAATAAAAAAATACATACACTAAATTCAGGTGTCCTAAAAATAATTTTTATAAGGATTGAAACATAAAACCAAGATTCCTTCAAGAAATAAGAACCATAAGAAGCCTTATCCATTAAATAATGAACACTTCTTGTCAAAAAGTGAATGCTTGTTTTACAAGAACAATCTCAGGTATGCTTTTCAATTTATAACCAAAAAACAGCAAAGCTCACATACTGACCTGGCTTTTATTAACATGATCGTTGGGATGCACAGGTATCTTGCTGCCAAGTTCACCTCCTAACATTTCAATTGCTCTATTGCTAATGACTTCATTTACATTCATATTTGTCTGAGTTCCTGATCCAGTCTGCCATACCACGAGAGGAAAATGATCATTTAATTTACCTTCAGCTACCTGCAGAAAAAATGTTAAAAATGTATTTTAAAAAAGGAAATAATAATGCTGATTATGCCACAGAGTTTGAATACAGTTGACCCACATATCTAAGCTTCTGAAGCATCACTTGCTCCAACCACAGATACTTTAAAAAGTGAAATATTATCTATAGTGAATGGTATGACAATTCACTGGTTTCAAATGAAAAGGGAATCAAAGGTATCTTTCTTATCTCTCTCCCACAGCCTCCTCTAACAGAGGACCACCTGTTAAGGCTGGCAAATACGTTTAGTCTCTAGATATATTTGTTGCTGGTGCTCAGCAGGAATATCCAACAGATGTTATTGCCAGAGTCAGCATGCTAATGAGCTAGTAACTTGAAAATGTGAGTTCACTAATAGCTACTTCATTGCACAGATGTCCAATGAGCAGTAATCACCAAATGTAGAAATAAACGCTGCCCAGATTTGCCCCTATTTTTGTTGTATTTTTATACATCCAGCTTATGTGTTAGTTTTTGGATGGTGTGCTTTGTAAAATATGGGTGGTTAACAATCTTCTGGAATGATTTTAGCTTAAAAAATCAGAATGCACTTGAGAAATCTATTACCTTGAACAACTGGTCCACTTTAAAATAAAACTTTTTTCTGGTTATATAAAAATATGTGATTAGTGTAGAAAATTTTGAGAACTGAGAAAAGTAAAACAGTCACTATAGTTCTATTGCTCAGTAATTATGACTATTAGCATGTTGGCATCCCCAGTCTCTATCTCATGCAATGAGGGTGTGTGTGTGTGTGTGTGTGTGTGTGTATATGAGAAACACACACTTTCTGTTCATTTTTTCCTAAACAAAATTAGGATCGTAAAATACATATATTTTTGCAAACTTTCCTCCCTATTTCTCATAGGCTAGGCTTTGTGCATGCCAATCTTCAAAAAAGTAATTTTCTATAATTTACCATATAAATATAATTTATATAAGTAGCTGTTATAGTTACGCATTGTCTAATTTGTTTTCATTATTATAAATAGTGCTGTAATTAACAACACTATATATACAGTTCTGTTACCTCTGATTGCTTCTTTAAGACAATGTTATTAGCATATTAGTAAAATTACATTCTCAATATGCATTATCAAATAATCAACTGGTTTTAAAAAGATTTATATATAAAATAAAAAATCAAGTAAAGTTCAAATGATATCTTTTCAAAAAATTTTCTTAAAACTATATAAATTAAGGAAAGTCAAAAGGCTTAAAAACAAAAGGTATAAAATCATCCAGAAATTTTGTCACAATGTAACGTTTTAAGCACCATATTAATATCACCACTAAAAATAATGCTACCACCCTCCCCTGAAATTCATTAATTCAAGAATTCACAGTTCCCCTTTCCTTCTGCCAGAGCATATCGTCATCCAGAGTATGGCATGGGTCTGAGGTTATTAAGCAAACACACTTATCACCTCCTACCTCATCTGCTGCCTTCATTATTGCATTAGCAATCTTTGGATCAAGACCATAATCCTGGTTTACTTCAGCGGCCGCTCGCTTCAAGATGCCAAAAGCTTTAATAACTGGGGTCTAAAATTAATCAGAAAAATATTTCAAATTTACAATTTTACTTAAGCATGGAAGTTTATTATTTTGGCAGATGCAAAAGCTATACATAAAACAATAACAATAAAACAGTAACACTATAGCTCTAAAATGTTTCGGTTATAGAGAAAGATTATAGACAGGAATTCATGAACCAAGAATCAACATTATCATAGATCTATTTGTTTAAGGAACCAAATAAAAACAAATACATTGACTCTTCATATATATATGTGTGTACGTCTCCCACATACATATACACACATATTCACACGAATACAATCCTATGCACAAATACACACAATAAATTATATGTGTTTATTTCATATACTATAAATAAAAACAAATTTAGTACTCAATCTTTTCACCAGCAAGAACCATTATTTTCTCTTACTGGATCCCACGTTACATTATAATTGTTTCCTTCCCCTCTTAAAAAAATAAATAAATAAGGGATATATTTAACTGCCAATCAGTATGAGACTACCAGTGACTGACTGGGTTATCATTTCACCCCAAGGCCAAAAAGCAATCTATTCTACTTAGCTAGTAAAGCCTTAATACTCAGTAACTCCCTGGACATTTCTCTCAGAAGAATTATTTTTTTAAACCCAAGATTCTCCAGACCTAAAGGTGACAGCTTCCGATATATATAAAACCCCATTAATGCAGATATTTTCATTGTCTATCCCAAATCACCTCACCAAGCTTGAAAAGGATAAACTGAAATGAAAACCTAGTTTTTATAAGACAAGTGAATTGTGAGTTCTTGTCAAAATTAATAATACAGATTGTTGTATAGATCCCACACCAGGTTTGAATGGGGAAAGAGTAGAAGGGAGAAAGGGAAGAAAGGAAGAGAATGATGAATGTATAAGAGAGAACCTGCTATCTCTGGAATCAAAGTAGAAAAAGCCAAGAAAAGTAAGAAATAAGACACATTAAAAACATAAACCTGGACCAGAGTAAGTATAAGCTGAGGGTCAAATAGAAAAGGAAAACCAGAAAATTTGAAATTTCAATTTTAAGTAACTAAAATTAAAACATTAGAAACGTTTGACTCAAACGAAATGAGGACAGATGGCACACAGGATTAGAAACTTAAAAACTTTAAACACAAAAACAAATGGGAATTTAAATCTCCACAGTAACAAACACTGAGGTAGTGGGCTGAACCACTACCAAGGGCAAAGGTGAATGCCAATCAACGCTGGCCATCTGAATGGAGTGAATGACCCCCAGTGTTTATGGACCATAAAAATAAAAAAGGGTCATTCACAGCAGAAAGAGGTTCAACGAACACCATAAAATGGCAAAATGTATCACTAGAGAGAAAAGACAGGTCACTTTATTCTTAATTTATTCACATTAGATGTTCATAATCTTTTTAGCTTTGTTTTCCTCTGGACCTCAAGTAAAAAGGGTTGAGTTTAATCATACTACTCAGTTTAGAGTACATACAGACTGTTTTACACATAATAAAGTTCAGAAAGTATGACAAAATCGAGACCCCAGGTGTCTGCCTTTCACAGGTGTGCAATCCCAATGGCTGTGCTGTCTCTGGAGCAGCAGCAGCAGGAACCATGCCCCACCAGAACCACAAAACATGCTGGTGACACAGATCAATGAAAACGGCAGCCATGCTCACTCCCACCAACACTAGCTGGGGCTGACCTCCTCCTTAGTCTCTGGAGTTGAATAATATGAGATTATTTTAGGATTGGTCACTACCCTTTTTCACCTAACCACGTAGTCAAACTATGTTTACCTCACCACCAAGAAGGCTGTAGATGGCAATGACAAAGATATTCTCATCAAAGATTCAGCTGCCTGTTGTAAAGTTCTATATACCTGTCAAGAGGCAGTCTTGAAGGCTTAGGAATGACTTAAAATTATTGAAAATAAAAGCATATTTATAAGATAAGTGTTAAACAATATCTCACAGGATGAAGCCTATCTACTTCTAGGCTTACTAGCCTATCCTGCATTGACTATTTTTCATACTCCGGTTGGGCTCCCGTAGAATATGTTATGCATTTCTCAATTCTTTTCACACTTTAACATCTCTGAAATCAAGATGTATCTTGTAATCAATGGTAAGTCACAACCTTAATTGGTAGCATTTTTCTTTCTTAGTGGTGCCTATTGGTGCATCTTCTAATTAATGGCATCTTAAATTTAATTGAATGTGGTAGAAAGTTTTCTCATCATTTAATCATTCATATGGAATTGAATAAATACTTATATATTATCTATTATATGTCAGACATGGTTAAGAGTAATACTTTGATGTGTTTGTGTACTATACACTTTTTAGGAAACTGAAACCAAAATACAAAGTGTAATTTTAAAAAATCTCAGTTTTAAATTAGTGGGGGAAAAAAGAATGAGTATTGAAATAAAAATATTTACAAACTGTAGAACCCTAGTAAAAATCTGTAAATACCCAGCAAGAGTGAAAAGACAATCATTTAGTTCTGCCAAATAAAAATCCAAAATAACTATTCACAATAGCAAAGACATGAAATCAACCCAAATGTCCATCAATAAAGGATAAAGAAAAAGTTGTATATATCCACCATGGAATATTATGCAACCATAAAAAAGAATGAGATCATGTCCTTTGCAGAGATATGGATGGAGCTAGAAGCTGTGACCCTCAGCATACTAACAGAGGAACAGAAAACCAAACCCGCATGTTCTCACTTGTAAGTGGGAGCTGAACAATGAGAACATATGGACACAAGGAGGGGAACAAAGCACACAGGGGCCTGTGGGCGGAGGGGGAGCAGCAGAAAAAATAGCTAATGCCGGGTTTTAATATCTAGGTGATGGGTTGAGAGGTGCAGCAAACCACCATGGCACACATTTACCTATGCAACAAAACTGCATATCCTGCATGTGTATCCCGGAACTTAAAATTAAATTAATTTTTTTTTTTTTGAGACGGAGTCTCACTCTGTCGCCAGGCTGGAGTGCAGTGGTGCGATCTCAGCTCACTGCAACCTCCGCCTCCCGGGTTCAAGCAATTCTCCTGTCTCAGCCTCCAGAGTAATTGGGACTACAGGCGCGCGCCACCGTGCCCGGCTAATTTTTGTATTTTTAGTAGAGACAGAGTTTCACCATGTTGGCCAGGATGGTCTCGATCTCTTGACCTCGTGATCTGCCCACCTTGGCCTCCCAAAGTTCTGGGATTACAGGCATAAGCCACCGTGCCCGGCCTTAAATTTTAAAAAATCCAAAATATTCAAAGCGATGGCTCAAAATAATAGCATGCTAAAACTTCAAAAAGTTCTTTAACATTTTAGTGAAAGAGAACCTCTTATTACTCACGAAGCCATCTTTTCTAATAACTTTACATTTTAACTCTGAAAAATATTTATAAAGTAAAGTGACTCATGAATACAGCCTACTTCATCCAAAATAGCCAACATTTCCACAAATGCCACTTACTGGCATGCGTTCTGTCACACCTCCAATCTTAAAGTTCATCGTAGATCTCACGGTCTGGGCGCCATAATACTTATCATTTGGCACCTTTAGTTCACCAAAGGTATCATATTCTATCCGGAAGGAATTTTGGCTTGCCTAAAGACAAGAATACAACACTATTACAAGTTGAAAAGAAACCCAGGATCAAAAGTAATCGCATCTTATCAGCTGTTAAAGAGAAAGAAACCTGAATAAGTATCACAAAGACAAAAAAATACTATTTGGATTCTCATTCTCTTCCTCACTTTCAGGTCTTTCCTTGAGAGCTCTTTGTCACACAAACTTATTAATTCAGGCTTTAAAGACAGACTGTAGAACTAATATACTATGCTGGTGATAAACATAAAGACTTTGAAATACAAATAGTAATCTTTTCCATTTCAAGAGTATGCTTATTACTGGTCAAGATTTGGCCAATTCAATGTACTTAGTTTAATGCTTATTTTACTGGGAACTTTTGAAAACGGTCTAAGAATGATTATTTGAAATTTATAAACATTATTTATATATAAACATTATTCACATATATTACATATGTATATTCATTTATATAAGAAATGTATAAACATTATTTACATATATAAACACTATATATATGCCATCATGCTACCAAGTCAGTATCACAGTTGGTCTGCCTGTTAAATATTCTCATTCTCAATGCACTTTTTAATGCATTTTTAATAATCAATGATCACACTAATTATTCATGTGTGATTTATTTGCTTATTTAACTGCTTTGCTTATTTAATCTCCACTAAAGACAAGAATAAAACACTGCCTGTAAAACCCTATCCCCATAGGGACTGTCTTATTTACAGGGCCTGGTAAGTGGAAGGCACTCAATAAACAGTATCTTTCTATTGAATGAATTTGTATGTGTTCTTTTAAATAAAAGGTACCTTAGGGCATCAAGGGTTATGTGAAATTCTCAACATTAGCAACAGGAAGAACTTTTAACAAAACCAACAGAGATTTTGGACCTGAGAATGGTTAGAGGGCAAAAAGTACCAGAACTAGAAAAAACAAAAACTACCTCCATCTGATTTTAGCTAACATTACAATTCTAAGAGCAAAGTAGTGCTGCTATTTTTTGACATTTGCATCAACAGGATAGATTCAGAAGTTCTCCAGTCTGCTTCCCTTTACAAAACACTAAATAAACAATAAATAAATTTAAAAATATGTAAAGGTTTTAAAATGCCCTAAAATTATTCGAGCAGGGAGTTCGAGGAATACAAAACATCTCTGATTCTGTAGTATAGTTGTATATCGTAGGTATAGTGACCCAATCAAATTATCTTGAAGTTTAGAGTCCAGAAAAAGTACTGGCCCTTTGAAATACCCTAGATGGGGCACTTATTTAATGAGCACTCGCTACATGGTATTTTCACATGTGCAGTTTTGCTGAGTAGCTGTAAGTATTTCAACTTTGCATACGGATTTGAAATCACATCTCTTAGATTGCAAACCTCATGCTACACCAGTGCAGAACTGTAACTCTTCAACTATCATTTCTCAAACGTTTCCTAACAATATACATATGTATTTAAAGCTTTTTAAAAGCCTGCATTCCTAAAGATGACACTCTAAAGAGCAAAATGACTTACGTAAGCATGTCATAACCTGAACTTGGATCTTTAAGTTCTTAGCTGGCTTTCTGAATAAAAAGTACCGATTCAGCTCCTAGCCAATCTGCTCAAACATGCTTCAGAACACTATGCCCGCGGTATTCGGAATTGAAGAGTTTTACAACAATTACGGGGGAAACCATAGTCAGCCTAACAAACTGAGCATGCAATTTCAAAGGAAGTAAAATCTTCGAAGAACCTTCTACCCCACCTGGAGGGCCTGAAAGCAGTGCAGTGCCCCTTGGCGAAACAAACCACAGTTCAGAAACCACTAGATGCACAGGCGGCCAGTGTCCGGCCAGCAAGGCCCAGCTATGGGGCAGGACGGTGCGGGAGCTGCCCCTCTCCCAGCACCCTCCGCCCACGCCGGCACTGTCCTTGAGGGCAGCGCCCCGGGGCTGGGGGCCTGCGCGCCAGCAGCAGCGAAGTTACCTCAAAACGCCCCGGCCTCGGCCCGCCACGGACGGCTCCGAGGAGGCGCCGGGAGCGGGCCCAGTAGGACCCTCTCTGACAGCCCCCGTCCCTCCCCAAGCGCTCTCCCGGGCTGCGGCTCCATCCCTGCGCCGGAAGAGGCGTCCCGAGGCCGGGAGGCCCGCCACGCCGGCACGGGCGCTAAGCCCAGAGTCTGGCGCGGCCCGGACGCCCGGGGAATCTCTCCCGCCAAGTCGCGGGCGCCCAGGCCGGCAGGCAGGAGGGCTGAAGGTCACTGCGGGGAGGCCGGGGGATGGCGGCCTGCGCTCACCATTCGAGCCGCGTTCGGAGGCCAAAACGAGGGCACGGCCGCGCCACCCAAGCCGGGAGCCGAAGCTAAGGCTGCGGCTGGAGCCCGCACGAGGGGACGCGAGCGCGCGAGGAGCCGAAGTGCTCGGTACATGGTGCTGAGGGAGCTTGGGTAGAATTTCTGGGCGGCTGTGGCCACGCCTCCACGCCGGTTGTCAGAAACCGTTCCGCCCACCGGCCTCCGCTCTTATCCAATCAACAGCCTCACACCGACAGGTGGGGCAGGACCAATCGTGAATGACCAGTAAAGAATGAGGGGGCGGGTTAACTTTCTAGTAGTAGTGTGGGGTGTAAGGCCTTCGGATTCATGGGAAACTAGAAAGAAGGGAATTATGGGAAAGGAGGCTCAGGTTATTCTTGGAGCCGGTCTGATTTTTACGTGTGGCTGTTAGAAGGCGGGAGTATTAGTTGGTGAATCAGGTCGTGTTTGGTTGGTGAAATATCCTAGAAAGAAATATTTATTGTTTTATTTATCATGTAATCACTCATTACACGTTCTTACTACTGAAATCTTTCTTCATTTCTTCCAGATTGTATCTTCTGTGTAGAAATTTTGGGAAGTGCAGCAAAGTGTAGATAATGAAATAGTAATTATTCATAATCCCACAACTGAAAAATAAGCTACTTACTTATTTCTTTTAACTTATCATTTTGAGATCGCTACCGTTTCCTTTCTCTTCTTAGCCTATACCCTCAGAACTCTTTTTTTTTTTTTAATGTATTGTGGAAGACGTACACAATTATAGGGAACCTCGGAATTTTTATTATTTGTATATCGTTCTCCCAGTTTTTTGCATAGCTAATTTATACATTTTCAAATTAAAGGCATATTGTTTTAATATAATAGTTGATTACAGAAAAGCAGGAATTGATATAAAATTGCATCTGAACCACAGTTTTATCTTTTCTCTTTTCTATTGCTTGGAACCAGATGACAGTAAAGAGAGAGCGATCGGATGTTCTTAAAATCAAAAGTCCAGAACCTGCAAAGCCAAATTTATGAGTCAAACTTACAAACTTGCCAAACCTTTTGGTAACATTATGTTATTTTGTGACTTATAAATTTGACACATATTTAAAATATAAAAATTCAAATGAGATTGTAATAGTTGAACTACAATCAAAACACACTAGAAAACTGAATGCAAATTCTTTAAAACATTGCTAATAATGGAATGACGTTTTGTTTTTGTTCTCCTCCTTCCCAGCAGGTATCATTATTGTGTATATCATTATTTTGATGCATCCTTTCAGTTCTGTGTATTTTTTGCTTCATACACTAATATACAAACAATGGTTTTAATATTTTACTTTAAAGTTTTACTGTTGCATAATTGAACTCTATGCTTTTAAGATATAGCCATGATCTTTTAAAATTAATCATATTGGATCACATGAATATGAAATATTTTATTTATCCAGTTTCTTAATAAAGAACATTTTTCTTTGCTATTACACAAAATTATTTAATGAACATATGTTTATCATTTCTTCATAGATCATCTCTTTCTTCATTGTGTGGTGCCCCTCTTTATTGTTATTGTTGCTTGTCCTTTTAAACTTTTTTTAATATTGATATTTCTCTACCAATTTCATATTGGCTATTATTTGCCTGCTGTATATTTCTCATTTTATTTTATTTTTTGTTTCATTTTTGTTTCGAGCATGTCTCTTATTTCTACCATACAGTTTAACTTTTCAAAACCCAAATTAATAGCCTTTTTATAAATAGGTTATTTTAATCCCTTTTAAAAATTACCTATGACACATATTATGTTCTAGAATTTTTCAAAGCACTTTATATGTATTAATTCTTGGAACACTCAAAAACAACCCTATGAGATAGGTCCTATTATTATTCCTGTACATAGAAGAGAAAAATTGATGCCCAGGAACATCCACATATTTATTTGTGTGTTTTACTTCGATTTATTAGTGAAACTGATTTTCTATCTGCAGTAGTAATATGAAGTTCCATTTTTAATTATTCATTTTATTTGAAGTAAAATATTCAGTATAATATGAAGATGCTATATAAATGACTAAAATTTAGGAAATATTAACTTAGCTAATTTATTTTTATTAATTCGTAATAAAACGTACATAAAGCCTTTAATAAAGGCTAGATATCTTCATTTTAGAATGACTTATGTTATCTATTTGAAATAATGTTTTTACTTTGCTTAGAGTTTGGGTTTTTTTTTTTTAACTTTGGACTTGTCTGATAATAATATTGACCTGCTTTCTTCTTGTTGATGCTTGCCTGGTTTGTTCTTGTTTGTTTTACTTTGCTTTCTGTTTAAGGTAGGGGATGTGATTGGTGTCCTGCTGAGGGACAAGGGAAAAGTGCAATGGTTTTCTCTTGCCTGTGTTCTAAATCTCAACACCTGGCTGACAAAATTGATTGCGAGGTTCAAATTGTATCAATCAAAATGTTCTCCTTATTCAAACTAAAGACTTTTGCAAATTCTAATTTAGGATACCTCCCAGCCTGGGAGATTACCAGTGGGTTTCCTAGAGGAAGCTTAACAGAAAATTTGCAAGATACACCCATAAAAGTCTCCCAGAAAGTAGAGCAAATATTCAAAGAGAAGGAAAATAAAAGAAGTAAATAAAATTAGAGAAACAGTTCAGTATGTCCAACATGTGAATAATGTAGGGGAAACATTAGGAAAAAATGGAATAAACCTTAAAAAAATAAATTCAGAAAAATATATTGTAGAACTAGCAGATATGAACTAGCCAGAATGAGTTATGTCAACAAGAAATGTTAGAATACCAAGGGCAAAGAGAAGAGACTGGAATCTTTCAGAGAGAAAAATAAATAAGCAAAGGATTAGAAATCCTTAGACTTCACAACAACAATATCGGAAGCCAGACAGCAGTTGAATGATGTCTTCAAATTGTTAACGGAAAATTATTTCCAACTTTATATTCTATACCCAGAGAAATCAAGTGTGTGAAGAGAATTAAAATGTTTTCACATGATCAAGATGTCAAAAAATTTACTTCTTATCTACACTTTTCAAGAAAACGCCTCAAGTAAGTGCTCCACCGTAACTAGGAGTAAACAAAGGAAGAGGAAATTATGGACTTAGAAAATAGGGTCTTCGACACAAGAGACAGATGTGGCATATTGCCTGGAGGAGGCTATGACAGCTGTGCACTTACCTTAGAGAGCAACCATCTCAGATGGAAGCAGGTCACAGCCTCTGGAATAGATTTACTCAAAAAGATAAAATTGCTAATGCCTTGAATATACTGAGAAGGAATTTAGCTGATTGGGGGAGAGTTTGAGGGTTACATTTATAAGTCTTAGAAAAGTAACCAAAGGGAAAAAGCATGACAGTTATTAAACTGACAAATAAAGATAGTTGTATTTTGCAGAAAAGGGAAAATAATCATTATCAAATTTGAATGGCCATAGTTATAATAAATCAAACGTTGAATATTGATCTAACTGAAATGTTGATGTAACTATACTGAAAGGATGGGGAGATGGAAAGAATGTAGAAGTTTGGAGAGATTCAGACACGGTGAAAAAAAAAACATTAATCTTCGTCTTCAGTAGTGAGAAGTCATGATCTAATACCTAAAACCATAAACTGGACAGACAGAAATAAAAACCAAGAGGTAATCTTTAGAGATGTGGAAGTATATACCCAGGAACTGGAAGGGATGCCTCTGTGCAAGGATAAGTGGCGGAGAGGTAGCAAGGGTGATGACTGTTTAGGTTGGATGTCTTGCAGAACTTTTTTATTCCTAAGACTAAGTGCACGTACAGAAACTTTGCAAAACACTAAAATTACCAACTCAGAAAGTTAACCAACCTCTCTCTCCATTCTCCAGAAAAACTTCAATTCCTCAATGTGCTGGATTCCATTACCCCTCAGAGACACTACCCACTCTTTTTCTTACTTTGTCTGGTTATTTCTCTTAATTGACCCATAGAATAAGTTAATACTGTAACTTTGCTGTCTCAGCTCTCATGTTAAAAACAAACAAAAGCTGCTCTGACTTTGCATCCCACTTCAACTCCCTCCTCATTTCCAGGACATATTTGATCACCATCTTCACTTCACTTCTCATTCTTTCTTCATCCTATTACAATCTGCCTTCAGTACATGTCACTCCATTCATACTGCCCTTTCCAGGGTCACCAGTGACCTGCAAGGTGCAAATACAATGAACAATTAGTTTCCTATGTTTGCAGCAGCATTGACACAATTGACACCCCTTCTCCTTGGAAATACCTCTTTCTCGCTCTTTGAAATATCAAAGTCTCCGTATTTCCCTCTCCCAAACTTCCACTTTGTTTCACTACCTATTCCTTCACACTGTTCTTTGACAGATTTTCACTTATAAATAGGGAAGGGCCTCAGGGCTCACTCCTAAATAGTCTTTCCTCTTTAATTCATTTTTAAAAATATAGTGGGACCTCAGGTACAGAGTGTTGAGTAAATACACTGACCTTATGACATGTTATGGAGTATAAGATCCATTCTTATTTTATTTAAATATTTCATTTCTATTCCTATTTTCTATTCATATTTTTACTCTCTTTTTTGATTTCAATAGTTTTGGGGAAACAGGTGGCTTTTGACTACATGGATAAGTTTTTTAGTGGTGATTTCTGAGATTTTGTTGCACCCATCACCTAAGCAGTGTACACTGTACCCAATGTTTAAGTTTTTCATCCTTCACCCCCTCCCATCCTTCCCCCTGAGTCCCCAAAGTCCATTATATGGTTCTTATGACTTTGAGTCCTCATAGCTTAGCTTCACTTAGCTTCTTATTCTCCTATACCCTTTCTCCTTTCAAACCCCTAGAAAACTATTATAATGTGTTTATTTTGTATCCTTTTGTTTAGATGTATTCTTGTAAAATTTGTACAGTTGTTTTGTGCAGTTTAAATTTTTATGTAAATGTTATTGAATTATGCATGCTATTCCCTTTCTTAACTATCTTCTCAATCAGTTATCTTTCCATAGGTGAAATCTTCATTCCCATGATTTTCAGTACCATCTTTATGTTGATATACTGATGGTGCCAAACTTATTTTTCCAACCTAGGTTTCTCCAAGCTCCAGATTTACATTTCCAACTGTGTGCTTAGTATCTCTATCTAACTCAATACTCACATCTCAAACTTAATATACCTAAATGATAAATCTTAGTTGGCACCCCGCCCTAGTCTTTCATGCTCAGTAAACTACTACCAGTTAGTCAAGCTAGAAACCTGCAAGTCTTCCTTGATTCCTGAACTCTGCCTCCATTTCCCAAACATATGCGTACACTATGCCAAATTTACCAGCAGATCCTGGTCATTTAACACAAACTTATATCTTGAATCCATTCACTTTCCTCTCTTTTTACTTTCACCAATATATATTTGTTTAATAAAACAAGTAAACTAATAAGCCTGGTAGTTTCCTAGAATAGTGAACACAATAAAGGAAACAAGATGTTTAGAGAATGATTGAGAGGTTGCTTCTTTTAGATAAGGTGATCAAGCTAAGGATATTGTATCTGAGCTGAGAACTAAGCAATGAGAGCCAGCTATACAATGATAGAAGAGTATTCTAGGCAGACAGCTGCAAGTACAAAGGGCTTGGTTAAACGAATAAACAATTGTTGAGCAAGCTGATGTCGTCAAAGGGAGATAATTCTGTCAATTTCAACAGTCTGAGAATGATGAAAACATCGGAGTAAATATTGTTTTAATTAATCCTTTGCTAAATTTTAATTTCTTTTCATAAATGTTTATTATTTCCAATAATGCTGATTTGTTAAATATATAAATATGTGTAAAGTGGAAATATTCAGTGTCTGATGTAAGGTATTCTCCTCTTGGAGTCATTCTATTGTAAAAGTACCAGTTTTAGGGATTAACAAATAGCTGAATCCCAACAAGGATGAATTGCTTACTGCTATTGACACAAATTGCTCTATAAATCCCTACTTATCCTACAGTCTCAAGTTCTTCAGGCTCAGAGAATGGGGGAAGCTAGTCTATCAGTTCTTCTCTCCCTCAAGGACATCATCCAGAGAAAGGAGTGATTGTGATCTTGAACCTTCCTGAGGCTCCTCCAACACAATGCTTTCTACCTGACTTTTAGGAAGAACAGAGGGATAAGTAGCCATGGTCAAAATTGTAAGTTTATAATAGTTAAGCTTTTTTCAAGCTTTTGCTGCCCTTTCTCTTTCAGGCACTCTGGACTCTCATGTTATCCTACAATTTCTAAAAGTCATCAACTGGATCATTCTACTCAGATCTGTTTTCTCCTGCCTAATCTTATACAAAAGTTTATTACCTCTTCCTTCCTCTTCCAACTCAAAGATCATCAAATCCAAATTATTCAGATGTTATTATAAAATGTAGCTATCCAGAGACATGGAATCAACCCATCAGTGGCAGATTGGATAAAGAAAATATGGTGCATGTACACCATGGAATACGGTGCATCCATAAAAAAGCATGAGCTCATGTCCTTTGCAGGAACATGGATAGAGCTGGAGGCCATTATCCTTAGCAAACTAACGTAGGAACAGAAAATCAAATACTGCATGTTCTCACTTATAAGTGGGACCTAAATTATGAGAACACACGGATACAAAGAAGGGGACAACAGACACTGAGGCCTACTTGAACGTGGAGGATGGGAGGAGGGAGAGGTTCAGAAAAAATAGCTATTGGGTACTAGGTTTAGTACCTGAGTGATGAAATAATCTGTACAACAAACCCCTGTGACACAAGTTTACCCAAATAGCAAACCTGCAGATGTATCCTTGAACCTAAAAGTTAAATTAAGATAAAATAAAGTTAAAAAATAAAATATATCTATCAATTTAAGTTTCATTTAGTTTGGATTGTCAAAAAAAATAAAAGCAACATGAGATATGAAAATTGTCACTTTTTTGGAGAAACAGTCATTTATTACTGACTCTCCCTATAACAGAAATTGAGGACATTTCTGAGAGGTAATAACAAAATTATCTATTCTAAGAATGAACTGAGAAAACTGGGACTTACTATAAAAGTAATAATAATCATTACTTATCAGTCTATTAGCATGTTGTTTACATGCTGCACAGACTTCATGATTAATAATTAATTTCTTTTATCTCAACTATTGACTTGACATAATTTTTTGGCCCATAAGTGGAGAGTTATTTGACCCGCCTAATAAGAGATGTAGAAACATCATAGAACAATAGTTATCAGCATCTTTATAGTCAGTTTTAATGTCATAAAACACTGTTTTAGCCAGATTATTTGTGAGGTGGGTCACAATTTGTTATACATAGGAGTTAAAGTATCAAAATTTGAAAATTATTTTAAAAATAAGTAAAGCAGGTGCAATACGTTTTTACTCAGATAATATAGTATTAATATGTGTGCTTCTTTGAGTCAAAGAAAAAGGGTAAGTTTCTAGCTATTAAGCAGAGAATTGTATGTAAACTTCAGGCTATCTTATCTGTGCCCAAACTGCTAATATTAGTACTTCCATGAGAGTTCATCTTTTAGATGAATAACATTGAAAATGAAATGTGTCATGTGTTGTGGAAAAGGGTTTTGAACTTCTAGGCTTAAAGAGAGCAAGTAGCACAACGATCTCTAGTTTTATCCCATATGGGCTATGTAGATACCAAAGGAACAGCTATTCCTAAGACAGACCTCACTGATATTGCATACGGAGTGAGTGCTGAATCACCCATAAGCACAAGGCAGAAGCAAAATTAATCTTCTCTAAAGCAATACACTGATGCCTGAAGCCTCAAACTACTTACAAGTAGGTTTTTTTTTTTTTTCAACTACCATTTTGAGCACTCAAAGCTTAAAATGCTCACAGGGAAATTAGATAACATAAGTGTCTACAAACGATAAATAACCATCAAAACAAAGCCACAGTAGAAATTATCAGACACAGACCGTAAGACATTCATGTTTATTATGTTAAGTAATAAACATAAACTTGAGGATTTTGGCAAGGGTGCTGGAAACTAAAAATATTGTGGTACATATGAAAAATAAAATAAAAATTCCAGAACTAAAAAATTGCAATAATCAAAGTTAAGAGCATAATGGATGAGTTTATCAGCTGACTAGACAGTAGAAAAAAGAATTGGGAAATTCAATAATACATTAAAATACATAATGCATTAACATAACTATCCATAGCGAAGCACAAAAGGACAAGCAATGAAAATACAGATTAAAGGATAAGAGACAAGGGAAGAAACCAATCTCTATTAAGCAACCCAATGATTTCCTGCTAGGATCTATAAAAATAAATTTTTATGTAGATACATCTTAGTGAAACGACAGAAAGCCGAAGACTCAAGTTAAAAGATAAAGATTAAAGACTAGACTGGATTTTAAAACGTTCAACAGAATGCTGTTTACAAAGGCCACATAAGAATAAAAGAAAGTTGAAACCAAAAGGTTGGAAATGATATAATATGTAAATGCTAACCTAAATATAAAAGCTAATAGTACTATCAAATAAAGTTTAAGGCAAAAATAATTATTTGCTTCATAATAATAAAAGCTTTAGTTTACCAGTAATGGATAGCAGCTTTAAATGTGGATTGTTCCATATAGATAGAAATGCTGAAGAAACAGACAAATACCAATCACAGCGTGAGATTATTTAACATAACCTTTTTCAGTAATTGACAAAACAAGCATACCAAAAGTTAGCGAGAATACAAAAGTTTTGAACACATGATTAATAAACTTGACCTAATGGATATGTATAGGAAAATATATACATTAATTTCAGAATATATATATATATAATATATATATATTCTGAAATACTTGAATATATATATATTTCAAGTACACACAAAGCATTTACACAAATTTACCACTTTATGGCCATACAATGAGTCTTAACCCGTTTCACATGTTTGAAAATCTATAGCACATATTAGCTGGCCTCACTGGAATTTTGCTAAAAACCAATAACAATAAGAAAACTAGGATGTGCCATGCATTTGGAACTTAAGAAATAAACCTGTATTCCACCCTGTACTGGAGGTACTAGCCAGCATGGAAAGAATCATTCAATCAGTCAGTAGCAGGGGGAGAGAGAGAGAGAGAGAGAGAGAGAGAGAGAGAGAGAGAGAGAGAGAGAGAGAGAGAAACTACCATGATTGTGGTGAAGAGAAAAATCCACCATTCAGTCAACAGGAAAGAAAGACAAAAAGGAATGAAGGAAGGAAGGAAAGAAGGAAGGAAGGGACTGTCATTGCGATTGGGTGAAAAGAAAAATCAAAAAATCTACAGACAAAATCAATAGAATTAATAACTTTTGCAATGCTGCTGCATACAAGCTCACAAAATGGAAAATAATGTGTTTCTAAATACTATTAATAGTAGAAAATGAAATGAAAGATATTATTTACAATAAAATTTAAAAAATCAATTACCTAAACATAATAATAGGGGATCAAACCTCTACAGGGAAAGAATATAACTTTGTAAGCCTTGGAGATGACAAACAGATGGTGGGGAGGGGCATATCATATTCTGAATGGAAAGACGCAGTAGTCAAAATAGTTATTCTTTCCAGATAGATGTATAACTTCGAAGCAATCCCAGTCAAAAATCCCAACCATATTTTTATTTTAGGGATTTTTAAAATGGAATTAACAGGCTGATTCTAAAACAGATGGAAATACAAAGCACCAAGAATAGTCAATACATTATTAATGAAGGACAAGGTGGGTGAATTGATGAAGATATTAAGGATTGTATTAAAGCTATTGTAATTTGGCTTTGGAACTGGCATTAGTAGGTATAGTATGGGCAGTATAGACTATATGGAATGAAATAGAATAGAAACCTGGAACGAGACCCACACATATATGAACACTGGACCTACACCAAAGGCAATGCGGGAAAAGGAAAGTCTTTTCATTTATTGGTACAGGGAATATTGGGTATTCATTTGGAAAACAAATAAAATTTTGACATCTATATCACAGCATTCCAAAAACAAAAAAACTAACTCCATGTTGATCATAGACCTAAAAATGAAAGGTAAATTATAACTATTTTAGAAGTCAACATGGAAGAATATCCTCATGACCTCAAGATTATACAAAAAAAGTGATAAAACATGACATGAAAAACTCTAACCACAAGGGAAAAGAATGTATTAAATGAAGAATATTCTTTCATCAAAAGACACCACTAGGAAAGCAAAAAGGCAAGCCACAGAGTGAATGAAATGTTATTTGTGACATATCTAAGTACTAAAGTTCATATGCAATGGGACTCAAAAAAGGAAAAAAAAATTCCCACCCTCCCCCCCCAAAAATTAACACTACCTATACAGAAGAAGAAAAAGAAGTTGTGAATGAACAGGTAAAAATGTGCTCAACTTCACTGATAATCAAAGGACTGCAAATTAAAAGAACACTGAAATATAAAGCACATCTACCAGACTGGCAAAAATTAAAAATTCTTGGCAATACATACATTGGTGAGGATACAGCAGAAGACAAATTTTACACATTGTGTTAAGTAAAAGCTAATGCACTACTTTGGAATGTAACTTTCGTTTATTCAGAAAGGTTAAAAATATGCATAAACATGGCTGGGCGCAGTCACTCACATCTGTAATTCCAGCACTTTGGGAGGCTGAGGCGGGTGGACCACTTGAGGCCGAGTTCAAGACCAGCCTAGTCAACATGGTGAAACCCCATCTCTACTGAAAAAATACAAAAATTAGCTAGGCGTGGTAGCAGGCACCTGTAATCCCAGCTACTCGGGAGGCTGAGGCAGGAGAATCAGTTGAACCTGGGAGGCAGAGGTTGCAGTGAGCCGAGATTGCACCATTGCACTCCAGCCTGGGTGACAGAGTGAGACTCCATCTCAAAAAAACCCAAAAAACAAAAAACAAACAAAAAAGCATAAACAGCATATGAAACCTAGAGATACTCATACATATGTACATGACATTGTATACACAAGAGTGTTTATGGCAACACCATTATTCATGATATTAAAAATTTGGAAACACCCCAAATGTCCATCAACAGCACAATGGACAAATAATAAATGACGATAAAAATGAATGAACTGGAAAAACATGCAACAACACAAATGGATCTTAAGAGATATAATATTGAGAAAAAGAAGCAAGTTGTAAAAAAATAAACAGTATAAGTTCATTTATAGGAAAGTTCAAAAAAGTCAACACTAAACTATTTTAGGGATGCATCTATCATGGTACAATTATACATAAAAGCAAAGAAAGTTGGTATGGCAGTTACCTCTACGAAGGAGGGGTGATTAACAGGGGGCACGTTAGACTTCTGGGATTCTGGCAATATTCTCTCTCTGCACCTAAATGGTAGTTACATGGATACTTGCTTTACAGTAACTTATTATACTGTTCATTTGTGTTATAGTTCATAATTTTTAAAAGATTTTTTAACAATGATACATATTGATACTGAGGAATTGATACATATTCTCTACATATTGATATTGAAGAATTCTCAAGCTATATGTTGTAAAGTGAGAAATATGATGTGGAAAAAGTTTTTAAATGTATGTTTAAAAAGAAAGGAAGGAAGGGAATGAGAGAGTGAGAGAAAGAGAGAGAGAAAAGGAGAGAGAGGAAGAACAAGAAAGACATAATCAACGTGTAGAAGAATACGGTAACCCACACACCAAAACAGTTGTTGTCTTTGGGCAGGAGGAATAGGTGGCCAAGGGTCAAGGTTAGCAGGATTACTATTCACCGTGTACTCTTTTGTGTCTTTAATTTCATGCCATGTTAATGTATTACCTATTCAAAATAAATAAAATACCTAATCATGCTTATCCACAAGGGGTCACTATTGAATGCCATTTAACTCTAGTTCCTAACCAGGGAAAAAAACGTTCTGAATTCTTTATGTGCTTAACAGGAAGTGAAGAAACAACTTCATTTATGTTCTTATTTTACATTACACCACATCATGTTCCAGAAAACAATTGCCATTCGCAAATCATGCACAAAAGTATAACATTTAAAACGGAGTGAAAAAGACAAAAAAGTGAATAGATAATATGAAGTCGGGAATGAGTTTACAGAAGCGTTGTGTCAGTCATCTCCCCTAGTGGTAATTAGACTCTAAATTTTCGATTCTAAAATTAGATTCTAAATTTTCTAGCATCTGGGCTGAAAAAAAAAAGGGGAAGTATGGTCAGTTACACAATTCAAAATGTTGATCGGGAGAATATTAAGACCTTGCAGAGAATTTTCCCTGGTAGAGCCTGTTAAAAACAATCCATGAGGACCCTTTAGATGAAATTTTTGATTGGTCTTAACCACAAAAATGATCCACAGATGAATTATGAAACCATGTCATCTTACTCTCTAAGGGAGGTATAAGATGTTTTTGGACTTCAGATGAGAAGGGCTCCATTCATGGTTAATCATGAATGAAAACGAAACTAAGAATATATGCTGTAGAAAAAGAAGAAGAAAAGCCACAAGACTGCTTAAAAATTTCTGTGTCTTACACAGAAGATAGAAAAAATAGAGTGTCTCCAATTGGATGGATTTTTTAAAAAATTTGGTTATTGTAATGGATTTATTTTTTCTTAGAGCTGAGCTGATTGTACTTTGGCCAACTAATGGGTTAATACTGTCAAGGGAAATTAGCCCTGACTAAACATTGCCGCTGGCTCATGAATGCACTAGGCTTGGGGCAGTATAAAAACTCAGAGAAATCAGTGTGTAGGAGACACAGAAATCAGTGTCACTCAGTGACAGAAGCAACAATAATTGTGAAAAATACTTCAGCAGTTATGGACTCATCTGTCATTCAAAGGAAAAAAGTAGCTGTCATTGGTGGTGGCTTGGTAAGAATTTTCAGATGGATTACTATTGTTGGTGGTATTATATTAACTATTATTACTCGTAATGATTATTATTCGTCACTTCTGCAAATTGTTAATTTTCTTGTGAAAACTCTGATATTTAAATACAGCTATTTTGTTTATTTTTTTAATATTTTTATTTTCATAGATTTAATATAGTATGAGTTTTAATCTGTTCTTTTTCAGGAAAGGTATTTTATAGCCATTAAATACAAAGGTTTCTGTTTTCCCTCATCATTTTGGTTTAGGATTTGTTAAAAAGCAAAAATAATGCAAATTGAATTTGATTTTATCCCCAAATTGGCTATGTTTTTAGGAACAGGAATTAGTCTCAATATTCATTTTAATAAAAACATTTGTTCCGCTTTGTTTAATAACTCAGTTAATGCTGTCTAATGAGAATAAAAGGGTCAAGAAACATGAAGCTAACGTCAAAGTATCATGTTGAATGTTCACTAGTTATATGAGTAATTGGGAATAAGATTTATGTGGTCGCCTGACTTACTTGACTCTTCCAGTGGAGCACCTAAGACAGTGGAGTGAGGTGTTCACCTCTCACTGAGCACGTGACGTAAAGGTGCTGGGGCTTCCCCCATACCTAACAAGACGGAAGGAGAGGTCACTCTCTGCTTTCATAGTTATGGTGCCAAAGGTAGTTCTGTTTAACATGGGTCTGCTCCGATTCAACTTTGCTTTTTCCCATCTCAGCAGAATTTCTGTTTCAGAATACAAACATCCCAGTTAGTCAAGGTTAAATCATTTCCCTATCACCTTTGGTCAAATCATTTGGAGACTTTTCATTAATTATTCATATATCCACTCAACAAAAAATTTATTGAGGGCGTAACACTGTTCTAGGCTGAATATAGATGGTATATTTTATGCCACACATGTATTTATACAGTATATGCTGTCTTTTGTTCTGCCTTCCTTAGTGTCTTTTCCCCAAAGTGCTAGAACAGTTCTTTTAATATTTCTGATTCT
The DNA here is from genome assembly GCF_000001405.40 of Homo sapiens. Lineage (NCBI taxonomy): Eukaryota > Metazoa > Chordata > Mammalia > Primates > Hominidae > Homo > Homo sapiens. The sequence continues at coordinate 241,533,501 of NC_000001.11, forward strand.
AAATTTTCATTTAGAAATGCTATCACATGATGTGTTGGTCACTGGTTGGGACATGTGTCGTCACTGCTTCATACTAGGCTTGTGTCCAATCTGTCCTATCAAAATGTTGCACAAAATGAGAATTCATGTGTTCAACAAAATCTGATTACTATGTACCAATATTGTTTTAGGTAGTAGGGATGCGAGGGTGAGAATTCCAGAGAAGAAAAAGACAAGGAAGAAGAAAACAAATAAGACAATTTCAGTTAAAGAGAAGCACTATGAAAGAAACGAAAACAGGGTAGTGCTGTAGAGAGTATCTTTGGGAGTACCTGTTTAGAATGTGGTCAGGGACAGCTGCTCTGCTGAAGGGACATGTGACCAGAGACCTGAATGATCAGATAGAACTAACTACGTGAAGATCTTGAGAAAGAGCATTTCAGGCAGAGGGAACAGCAGGAAGAGAAACCCTCAGGCAATAATGAGCTGCCCAAGTTCAAGGAGCAGAAAGAAAGGCAGGAACTGCCTGAGGCCAGAGAAGAGTAGCTGATGAGGCCAGAAAAGCTGACAGACCAGATCTTGTAGGATCTTAGAGGTCCAGGCAAGAAGATCAGATTTTGTTCAAATTACAATGGGAAACTATTGGAGGATTTTAGGCAGGAAATTAAGTTGTGATTTTAAAAGGTCCCTTGGACCATTATGTGGAGAATGACTAGGAACATTTTAAGATGACAAGATAGACCAGTTAGGAGGCTGTTACGTTAGCTCAAGACTTGGACTAAGGTGGCAGCAGTGATGTCTCATTTTAAAAATTGTCTCTTAGAAATCCAAGGGAGAGATAACAAATATGTGATTGTATATATGGTTTTGGGGGGCATAAAAATGTGGGTGTCATCCATGGATTTCTCCCTGAATAACATGAGATTGTCATCATGTAACCACGTCATACATATGCTGGAAAATAGGAGACAAAAATTACTACTTGCGTATTAGGGAGCAACTAAAATTCCTCTGCAAAAGAATTCTATCCATCCTATTGTTCAAGTCCATGCTTACGCATCATGTTTGATTCCTATTGTCATTTTGTGCAAACGCTTATTCTTCTTTCACTCCATCAGTAAGCCTTGAGGCTCTATATCCAAAATACATTTAAATTCTAGCCATTACAACCATCCTGGCCCAAGCCATTATCATCCGCCATCCTTATTCCTGCAACAAGCTCCAAATTAGTCTCCCAGCTTTAACTCCTTTTCCCTTATAGTCCATACTACACACCACAGCCAGAAACACCCTTCTAAAACATGAGTCTGATCATTATCATCCCCTGCTTAAAATCTTCCAATGATCTCCCATTACAAATAAAATAAAACCCAAACTCTTTACCAAAGGTCTTGTCTGAACTAAGCCTATCTGCCTTTCTGGCTTCACCCCTTTCCCTTTTTATTTGTTAATCTTATCTACCAGTATCGGAAATTACACACTTTGGGTTTTTTTTTTTAACCTGTTTCTTAGATATCTACTCCAACTAGGATATAAACTCTTATTAACCAATGTATTCCAGAGGCTGTAATTATGCCTAACATTATGTATTGGGTGGATGAATAAATGAGAGGAATGAGAAAACTTAATGATATAAAGGTGAAAAAATAATAACAGATGCATGTTTGAATATTGAGAAAATTATTTTTAAAAGTATTGACTAAATAGAGCAATTCAAGAAGGTTAATGTCTTTACATAGAGGACAAGATTACATTTTTGCCCATCTTCTTCTGTTTTTTTTTCCACCCTCCCTTCCTACCTCCTCCTTTCCATAAACCATATCCCAGTACCTTATACTGTCTAACACATTAAAGGCTCTCCCCTGGCCCCTAGAAAAAAAAATGAGAGTTGAGAACCTTTACTTAGACATCCAAAAAATATAGTGAACTTCCCTCAATTCTTATCAGTGGTAGCTTACCATGTCTAGTAAACTTGCCTAATGAAAAGTCACCCTGAGAAGTTATTCTTGCTCTGATGTAGTGATCATCTGATATTGGGTTAAACCAGTTGATTTCCTTTCTTTGAAGACATGTTCAGTCAAAGAGATCAACAAACCAGTAAAAAAACTCCTAATGAGAAACAAAAGGTAAAAGAAACTAAACCATAATCATAAACCAGGTAAAGTTTAAATATTGAAAAACAAGTGGGAAAAGATGTTAAAATAGCATTTCAAGAACATTGACCTAAATATTTAGAAAGACCCCTGTATTGACTGATATTTTCCTCCTTGTGTGAATTACAACTCCCCCATCCCTTCTCCAGCCAATGGGATTACCTCCTGCTAGTTCCAGAAGGTAACTGCAGGACAATCAACCTGTGAAGGCTTCTCCTCTCTTTAAATGCCCACAGGGCTTTGTTTGTCATTATCAAATGCTGCCTTCTATTAAAATTTTGTTATGCATAGTTTATTCCCCATAGAAGCTTTTTACTTCGTAGATCTAAAGATTATTTTATCTTTGGCTCCTGCTACCTTTATAAAGGTTTCCCAGTGCCTTATAATGTGAGCCACACTAAAATATTTTCTGTGCATGAGTTTGATTTCAGAACAAAGTGGAGAATCACTCCTTTAGAAGTTATGGGAAATTTTTAAAGAGTTTTTTTTTTAACACAATTATGTCATGAGGAATGTAGTCCTTTCAATGAGTAACTTAAAAAAGGATTTGGAAAATAATCTCAATTTTGCATGCTGGAAGGAGTTCTACAGTGTAGCTTTTCAATTCTAGCACATCATTTCAAAAAAAACCTGCATTACAAAAAAACTGCCATACAAACTGCCTTACTTCATGTTAGAGTGATATGTTTTCTTTTCTTTATGAAGTGAGAGAGAAGTAGACAAGCCAGAGAAGTAAACAAAGGCCATCTAAGCTAAACAAGTGTCCTTAATCCACATCTGAATTCAGTCCTTAAGACTCAGAAAATACTGCTTTTGATAACTGTTTTCAGTGTTTACAGGTATGACGAAAGTGATCAGAGCAAAAAGGCACCATTTCAGTGACAGCTAAAGCTACTCAAGACACCATTTTTTGACTGAAGCCAAGAGCCTTGGTAAGAGGGCTATTAAGCATTCCAGTCTCAGCTGACTCCTGCTGTTGCAATGTATGTCCACTATTCTAGCATGTATTTTGGAGATGTATTTTAGGATATCATTCAAATATTTCTTCTGTTCCTTTCTGCAAAAAAGAAACCCCACTGTAGAGAGCTTTGTGATCTACTCTCCCTATGTTTGACCCAGGAAAGTTCTCCATTTAGTAGTATTTAGAGGGTGAGGAGATTTGTACGTATTTTGACTTATTGTTGATAATTGTGCCCTGCCCCCTGGAATTCAAGTCAAGTCAGTGGCCTCTGCTGATGAAATTGCTTTTGAGGCAACTTGACCTTGACTCTATGAGAGTTTATGTCTCACAGCTATAGATGTTAAATCCTGTCATGGATTTATAGGCTCAAAATGGTCTTGATGCCAAACTGTCCCCAAATGGTGTTTCTGTTCTGTTCTTCTTAGGATTTTTCCACCTCACCACTTACTCTTCACTCAGCTTCATGGGATGGAAAAAACATTATTCATTGAGGGGACTGGGAATAGCAGAGTTTGCAACCAGCTGGACACTCAGGAAATCTTACCCTATGGGTCTCAGTTTCTTCCTCTTGGACTAAAACTAGATTGCTAGTCTTTTAACACTAAAATTCTACTGCTTCTTTTTCACACTTTCTCGCTCACAGATCTCTAGCTTTGTTCTCAACCTACTCCTTTCTAAAAAAAGAAATCAAATGTCACCCAGAATTTTCACTTTCCCTGAAGTAAACGTCCTCAGTGCATATGAACCATCAAATGGCTTATAATCCTGGGTTGAGGTCTACACAGAATTTGATTCAAGTGCATACTTTATATTTTTTGCAAATATTAATGAGCTATACCATGAAAAAGACATAATTACTGTTAACCTTTATTGTTATTATTTTATCAATGTGAAAATAAACTAAGCTCTATTTGCTCTACTCTTGTTTTGATACCAAACTAGGCTTGTTCTGCCCAGCATGCAGTAAGTCAGTTACTGAGATAACAAGTGTATTAATCCGTTTTCATGTTGCTGATAAAGACCTACCTGAGACTGGGCAATTTATAAAGAAAAAGAGGTTTAATGGACTCAGTTCCACGTGACTGGGGAGGTCTCATGATGATGGTGAAAGGCAAAAGGCATGTCTTACATGGTGGCAGGCAAGAGACGGCATGCAGGGGAACTCTCCTTTATAAAATCATCAGATTTCATGAGACTCATTCACTATCACGAGAACAGCATGGGAAAGACCCAATCCCATGATTCAATTACCTACCGCTGGGTCCCTCCCACAACACATGAGGATTATGGAAGCTACAATTCAAGATGAGATTTGGGTGGGGACACAACCAAACCATATCAACAAGTTTTGCAGTAAAGAGAAGATTTTATTCACAGGACAGCCCAGCAAGGAGATGGAAGAACAGCTTTCAAATCCACCTCTCCAAAGATAGGGCTTAGAGATATTTATGGGGTAAAGAAGCAGGGTGGTCTAAGGTGTGGGGAAGGTGATTAGCAGTGGGGAAAAATGAATAGGTGGTCTGAGCATGCATAATCAAGGTTCATGACTCTTCATAGGACACATGTTCAGAAAATGGTGGCATTAGCATGCTGTGAAGGTGAGGTTTTTGGCCTTCTGGTATCAGAAAGTCACTTCTTGGGCATTTGTGCAGGCCCAGTTGAAGGGCCTGCAACTCTCTTCTTTCCTTCTTCTATCTGCTTTCTCATTCTCCTATTATCCTTACTCCATAGTAATAAGGCCCAGGAGTCAATGGGCAAGGTAGAAAGAGGGTTGGTGGTCTCTTTCAAGTAGTTTAACTTGGGTAAGAACACCTAGTTCCTGAAAACAAAAACAAAAACAAAAACTTTAAGCAACTATTACCATAGTGACATACATGCCAGAGACGTTGTCTATAAGGAAGCTAGTGACAGATTAGATGTATATTGTTTGGCTACATGACTTTTAGCTATATGGGCTTTGAGATCAACTAGAAGTAAGCAATAAAAAGCAAGCAAGGCAGGCTGTTTGGTGGGCCTCACCATGTTAGACCTGGGTTTCAGTTTTCTATTTCATAGGCTCTGAGCCTTCTTAAATATGAAAAACTCTCATTAGTGGCCCATATCTAGCACCTTCTAAAAACAGAGGTGGAATGGATTTCTTTGTGGCTGTGCCTCATAAATCCCACTCTCACCTCAGGGAATTCATCCCTCAGAGATTCCTTCATTTGCTATCTGGTGGGAAGTATCTGGAATGGAACCAACAACTTTAGACAGCTCCAGACTTTGTTAAGTGCCTACAAAGAGTGTGTCTTTCATTCCTTCTCATTTGGCGCATCCTCCTCCCAAATACTCTCAGATTATTTCCCTTCTGTCCATATTCACTCATGCATTCGTCTAGTCCTCTATCTGTCTACTCAAAGAAAAAGAGCACCCTCATACACTGTTGATGGTAATCTAAGCCGGTATTTTTTTCCTGGAAAACAACTTGAAAATATACACATCTGTAGTCTTAAAAATAGTGGGGATTTGGCTGGGCACGGTGGCTCAGGCCTGTAATCCTAGCACTTTGGGAGTCCGAGGTGGGTGGATTGCCTGAGCTCAAGAGTTCGAGACCAGTCTGGGTAACACAGTGAAACCCCATCTCTACTGAAACACAAAAAAATTAGCCAGGCATGGCAGTGTGTGCCTGTAGTCCCAGTTATTCGGGAGGCTGAGGCAGGAGAATTGCTTGAACCTGGGAGGCAAAGGTTTCAGTGAGCTGAGATCGTGCCACTGCATTCCAGTCTGGGCAACGGAGTGAGACTCCGTCTCAAAAAAATTCCAGAAAGCAGCAATAGCTACTTCACCCTTGAAGTTGGCCTAAGCATGGCATTGCATTCAGAGTAACAACTGTCCTTCAGCCAATGAGAAATTAAAAGCAAATAGAATCTAATGTAGGCTCTCAAAAACATCAAATCTGGAGTGTATTCAAAACTCCCAACAAAACCTTCTGAAATGATATTGCCCCAGTCAATCTGAATCTCTTTCGTGTGCTTTGCAGTTATTCCAAAAGCAAGACAAAGGAAGATTGAGCAGGCTCCTCTTACGCTCTAGACCATCAATATTCTCTCCGCAGCTCACTTCAGACTCTCTTCTTTCCCTCTTTGTTTTCTCATTCCCCTGTTATCCTTACTCCATTCCCCCACTAGTAATAAGGCCCAGGAGCCAACGGGGCAGGTAGAAGGAGGGTGTGGAGCTCGGAATTGGCCAGTGTTTCAATCCCTTTTATTCAAAATTGCCCTTTGGTGGGCCATTTCATTAGTGAGATTTTATCAAAAGAAACGTGTATGCGTCATACAATTGTCTATAATGCTAAAGAATTAAAATAACTTGAATATCCAAATATAAGCACACTGCCTACAATCAAATGTAATGCAAGTATTAAATGCTTTTACTTCAGACATCTTTTGACGTGGAAATGTATTTAGAGTACACTTTTCATTTTTTGAAAGAAATTATGAAAGAAAATATACAACCTGTTACCATTTTGAAAAGAAATATCATGTATTTTATATACATAGAAAATGTTAATATTGGTTGCCATTGGTGGTAAAATTGTGAGGAATTATTTTTTTCTTCACATTTACCTGTATTTTCTAATTCATTAGAATTTGTGGTTTATATCAGAGATAAAAAGACAAAATACAAGCCATGCAAATATTATTCCTCTCTGGGAATTTACTGCCTGGTGGAAGTCAGACAAGACTATAAATAAATAATTCAATGTACTTGAGACATTAAAACACATCTATATACATATATATATATAATTACAGAAGAAAAGGCAAACAAGTCTTTTGGAGGAGTAGAGGTATCAGGAAAAACTACACTGAGGATATGAGTCTTAAAGGAAAGGTAGGCATTTTCCAAAAACTGAATATAAGGCAGGGAAGGATAGTATTCAAAGGCATGGAAGAATAAAAGTGCATGGCATATTCAGAAAACATATAGTAAATTTAGTATGCCTATTACAGATGGTGCAAGAGAATAGTGCATGAGATAGTGCATGAGAATAGTGCATAATGAACTGGAGAAAGAGGTTGGGATCACATGTAAGAATCCATTATGTCATATTGAAAATTTGGAATTTTTTCCTGAAAAGATAAGGAGCTAATAAACAACTGTAAGACAAAAATAATCATTCAACATCTTATTTAGAAGATAATTAGTGATTGGGCATGATGGTTCATGCCTATAATCTCAGCTGTTTGGGGGGCCGAGGCAGAAGGATCACATGAACCCAGGGGTTTGAGACCAGCCTTGGCAACATAGCAAGATCCTGTCTCTACAAAAATTAAAAAAATTAGCCAGGCATAGCAGCACACCTGTAATCACAGCTACTTGGGAGGCCAAGGCAGGAGATCACTTGAACCCAGGAGTTCAAGGTTGCAGTGAACTATGATCTCAGCCTTGCATGCCTGCCTGGGTGACAGAACAAGACCCTGTCTAAAAAGAAAATAAAAAGAAGATGACTAGTTCTAGTGCAGAGTACAGATTGAATGCATACAGACTGGGGAAAGAGGGTTATTAGAAAACGGTTGCAGTAGCCTGGTAAAAGCTAATGAGGGCCCCATGTAAGGACAGAGCTGTGGGTAGCAGAAGATCTGCTGTGAGAGAGACTGAAGAGGAACAATCAATAGGACGTATTGCCTAGCTTCATGTATACTGGTAGGTAGAGAGGGGTGTTAAATATTCACCGAGCTACCCTGGTTGGGTGAATTAGTGAATGCAATTGCTATTCTCTAAGATATGAAATATATAAGGAGGAAGAAAGTTTATGGAATACAGAATACAGAAGAAGGAGAATGAGAGGGCTGAGGAATGGGAATAAGTCAACTTTTAGCTATGTTGAGAGGGAGATGCCTATAGACAGGTTCAGTAGTCACAGATGGAGTTCAGGACGAAGATCAAGACTAGAGTAAAAGTCATAAATTTTCTTAAGAGCACTCAGGAATGTGCATCATTCACCTTCTCATAAGAGGGAAAATCAAGACCACTGCTTGGCTTTAGAGATCAATTCCAGATGACACAGATTAGAGAACTCAGGGTAAGGATTAAATAATAAAACAATATTTGGCATAACATATGCAATTCTGGAAGATGTAATATTTACTAACAAAGTATGAAGACACTGATGTGCTTATTGCATTGTAAGTAGAGTTAACAGTCTGATTCTTCTCATTGCATTGATATACCCAAAGATCAAAATCTTGAGACGTCAAACTATAGTTTCATGACCAAATATGGATTTCAACACTATTAACAAGCTTTTTAAAAGTTAGATAGACAGAAAACTCAGAAACATTCATGATTCTTAAGGATTAGGGAAGGTGTTATACGCTTCATTAAGTCAAAAGTAGTTGACAAATGTTTAATATTGCACTATCAGATTAATTTCAAATATATTATATCAAAAGACATAAAATGTACGGAATTTTTATAATCCTGTTTCCTCTTCCTAATAGGATCACAGTTTTTCCCTTTCCTTCTTTCTTTTTATTTTTTTGTTGCTTATCAGTTCAATGTAAGATTCAAGGGTCAACATTTATAAATTTAAATGGTTTACAGTTTTCTCATGATCATTGGCTACTTGAACAATTGCTGTTAGAGGGGTCACATGGGAACTGACAGAAAAGCTCAGCAACGGAAGACTGGAGAAGCATACCTCAACATTTATAGAAAGGAAATATTCAAATAATATTTTTAAGTGGTAGGTTAGGCATCCCTATACAGCACATGACCTGTAAATAAGGAAGTATGACGAGACAGAAGAAAGTGGAGAAGCGAGATAATGATACATTGGGTAAATCCATAATTATGTAACCAAGGAATGTCCTCAAAGTCTTGTACACACAAACAGGTTAGACTGGTTATTCATAAAAATGTTTAATTTGCAAAATTATTTTGTGAGCAAACATCTCACTATCGTGAACGTTTGGTGCTTCGAAACAAATACAGAAACTTTTCATAATTGTTCATGTCCTTACTGGGAACAGTCCTGTCTCTATTAAGGCTTTACCCTCAGAACCAGAATCAAAAAATAGTTTTGTTTCTCCCAGCTGTCTAACCCTGCCCAATTTCTTCTCTCCTGTGCTGTCCTCCTTCACTATTTATGCTCAGGAACCCAGCTGTGCCTTAACCAAGAGTGTGTGGTGCGCTTAGCATGCTTTACACACCACATTTTCTTTCCACTTATATATTTCTGTCTTAGTCCTTCCTGCCAGCTTAACAACTCAAGATGGCACTGGCAGTTATTCCCAATTAAGCACTTTTTACAGAAAGTGAGAGGGGAAAGAAAATTACAGTCTGAAAGCTATATTGTTAGCCACGCCCATTACTACCCCTTCTGGCTGAACCGACGTAACACCTACTATTGTATTTTTTCTTTAAATTTATTTGAACCTCCGTTACACAGAATTGCGGTCATATTTATACGAGATCTATTTCCTTACACAGTATTATGACTGGTCTTGGAGAAAACACTTTTACTTCCTTGTTTGTTTGTTTATTAATAATAATAACAATAAGCGGCCATGAATCTACTACTCAACACAAGAAGTGACAGAGTGCCAGTGACTTCATCAACTCTGTACTCGTCCCCCACCCATTAGAAGCATTATGCCAAGTCTTATTTGTCACTCCCTTGCCTCTTTATATATAGTTTTATCCTATATTATTTACATATTTATCTCATGTATACACGTACATATGAATACTACTTATGTGTTTCAAAAACTATGTATTTGCATATGTCTATAGTTTAGTTCTGATTGTTTTCATTTTGTATCATGCAGTATAAAATTATCTGAGTCTTATTTTTTCACTTATAGTCTTGCTAATATATTCATATCATATCTCACTGTGTGAATATGCCATAATGTGTTCGTTCATTCCACTCTGATAGTCATTCGGGCTATTCCCCGCTTTTTTGTTTGTCTATTTTAGTTATGAAAGGCACTACACTGAACAACCTGGCACATGTCACCCAATATACATATAGCAAAAGTTTCTCCTGTGTATATGCCTTTAAGAGGAATTGCTGGTTTGTTCAATATGTGAATATCCAACTTGAAAAGATAATTACAAGCAATGTGTAGGAGATCCCATTAGGCCTCATCTTCTCTAGCACTTAATATTTTCATGAGCCTAAGTTAGATTTAATCTTAATGTGCCCACACTACCCGAGATCCCTTATTCTCCCATAAAAACAATTAATACATGTTCAGTTGGCAAACACGTAAGCGTTGGAAAGGTATGAATTGGCATCTGCCAACCTTAGAAGTATTGAGGCAGAATCTCCACCTTGGTCAGCCCTCCTCCTCTGAGATCCTGGAATCAATTTTCATCAAAGAAAAAGAACGTAACAAACCCATGCAACCAGACCATTGGCCCATCATTGGCTTAGAGCTGATCCTATTCCAACACAGTCACTGAGAGCTTTGTTTGCAGCATTATATATTGTAGCTCCTTTACTGTGGTTGAATTTTTAGGAGATGGATGAATGGATTTCTTGCTTCTGAATCCCAGGATCTCTCCTTTTAGGCCATTTCCCTACATTAGATTTTCACTGATCACTTGTTGTTTAGATTGTGGCTTTAGTGTCCTACTTGCCTTTCTCCCTACCTGTTTTCTCAGTAAGAGAGACTCATTTCTATTAGGTTGATGCAAAAGTAATTGTGGTTAACGGTAAAAACCGTGATTCCTTTTGCACCAATCTAATAAATGAACCTCCTGTGTCTTCATTCCAACTCTCACGACCTGTTGTCTTTTGTGATAATTGACTTCCTAAAAGAAAGAAGCAGAAGCTTCTGGACAAGTTAAGGACTACGCTTGGAAATGGCTCAAGGGTAACTTCTACTGCATTTTTTTGGTCAAAGCTACCACAGGCCCTTCTAGATTTAAGAGATTGTAGAAATAAACCCCATGTGTTGATGAAGGAGTATCAAGATCACACTGGAGAAGAGCATGTAGGATAAAGGATATCATCATGACCATCTTTGAAAAATACAATTTGCCACATTTGTCAAGAAAAAATTAATCTTTTTCATGTGTGTTTTCTAGAACTTGACTTATTCTTTTTGTTTTTTACATTGATTTTTACCTGTGAGCCCAGGGCTATTTTGCAAGGGGTCTGTGAAATAACATGCATACAAAATTTTGAGTAAGTAGGATAAAATTATATGACTTAAACACATAATTATTTTTAAAGTATATGTAGATGATTTGTGACTAAATTTATTATATATTTTTAAACAATCCATGTTAGAAATTCAAATAATATAAAAGAATCTGCAAATTTTTAATGTAAGAAGTGGGCCTCCATACTCAAAAGTGGTTCATTAAACATTGATACATTTATACCTTTGTCTCTTTTTACTAAATAGGGTGTTTACTGGGCACAAGGACTTATCTTGGTAACCTTTGAGTCCCTAAAATTTAGCAGATTAAGTTATATTTAGTAGGGGCTCAATAAATTTTGGCTTCACTTGGTTACAAACTTTACTTAAAAATGTAATCTCTACCATTATTTATACACTGAACAAATATATATGAAGCACTTACTATGTTACAAACACAATGGTAGATGCTAGGAATAAAATGGTGAGCAAAACCTGTTGATAGCTTAGAAGGACAGACAGATATTGATTATAGAATCACTCTAAAGATGTAAATTTTCTGTTGTTGTAAGCTCTTTGTATTAGTTTGCTAGGCTTGCCAAAATAAATAAATCACCACAAACCAGGTAGCTTAAGAAACAGAAATGTCTTGTCTCACAGTTCTGGTGCTAGAAGTCCAAAATCAAGGTGTCGGCAGGGTTGGTTCCTTCCGAGAGCTGTGAGGGAAAGATCTGTTCCGGGTCCCTCTCCATGGCTTGTAGATGGAAGTCTTCTCTCTGTGTCTCTTCACATCATCTTTCCTCAATGCGTGTCTGATTCCCCTTTTTATAAAGACACAAGTCATATTGGACTAAGGCCCACCCTAATGATATCATCTTAACTTGATTACCTATATTAAGATCCTATCTCCAAATAATGTCACATTCTTACAGTACTGGGGGTTAGGACTTGAACATATGAAGTTGGAAGGATGCAATTTACCCCAAAGATAAAGTTCAAAGCACTGTGAGAACTCATAATTGCAGGATTTGAGGTAGGGTGGCCCAGGAAATCTTTTTTTAGAGAGTGAAGCTGAGTGGAGACCTGGAGGATGAAAGGAAGTTTACTATGTAAAGAAGAAAGATAACACTTCTGGCCATGGATATAATACACGCTAAACCCCTCAGCAAGGGGCAGCATGGCAAATACAATGGCTAAAAGAAGGATAGCAAGGCTGGGGCAGAAGGGTGACATGATCAGATTTGTATATTTTAAAATGTGGGGAAAATCTGAGGCTTATGGTGATGTCATTTTTTTTCCAGAGAGGATTTATGTTTGTTTCTGTTGGGTGGCTGTGATTACCAGCAATCAAAAATTAATGCAATCTGATCAGGACTAGAGATGATTTCCAGACAGGCCCTTGGATCATTGGTTTCCTTCCAGTTTGCCCTTCTCCTGGGATGTACCTGTTTAGGGTCCTGATCTAAAACATAAGGGGTTTATCAGAACCTGCCCTCCTGAGCAAGGGGTGCGGGAGTGTCCCAGACTCCAAATTTTGTACTTCTAGTTTCATGAGTCTGTCAAAAATTCTACTGAAGTCCTCAGCCTCTCTTGCATTTGTAGATGCCTGTAGGCATGGCTCCAAATGCCAGGTCATCTCTCTGCGTCTCCTTTTCCTCTCAGTAGAGGTATTAGTTCAAATGACCTATTACACCATCACCCTAAATTACTGCTTGTGGAAAATAAATTGGAAAGAGGCAAAATGAATGCTGGTAGAATACACAGAAAATTTGATATTAGTTAAGCATAATGATTCCAATAACTAGAGGCAGAAAGGTGAAAATGAAAAGAGATGGGTAGATGGAAAAACATTGTAAGGTAGAACTGGCAGAACTGGGAATGGAGTATCAAGGAGAGACGGTGACTCCTAGCTTTCTAGTTTGAGCAACTGGATGGATGGCATATCATTCACTTACATAGGGAATATGTGGAGAGAATTGATGAGATGGGAGGCGATGATCGCAAGTTTCAATTCGGATCTGTTGATTTTGAGGTGCTTTGAGACATACAAGAAGCTGTATCACTTAAACATTTGCATGCATGAGCTCAAAAAACAGATCTGGATAGGAAATATACATTTTCACATCATCATGGATGGAGAAGACAGACTTGGATGGAGATTTGAGAAACTCCAATATTTGTCCGTCTTTGCAATGGTGAAAGAGGAAAAGTGGGACTGGCCAGAGACGTATGAAGAAAACCAGAAAATGAGAGAAGGTTAATGTTTCCAGAAGGTTTAGTTAACGGTATTGACTATTGTTGAAAATTCAAGTGTGATAATTATATACAGATGACTTTACCAAATACAGGTTGCCAGTGATGAGGTAGTAAACTACCACAGCCTATATAAAGCTACTGGTAGGGCAACACTCTAAAGCTTTAAAAAGACAAGAGATCAGAAAAAATTCTTCATGATCTCAGAATAGGCAAAGATCTCTTGAACAAGACATTTGTAATTGCATTAAAAATAAAATGACTATTGTAATTGCATTAATAATAAAATAAAAGATTGGTGAATATGGTTACATTAAAATAAACAGCTTCTCATACTCAAAATAGACTATAGCATTTAAGAAGCAAGACACAGAATGGAAGATATTTTTAATGTTTAAAAATGACAAAGACTCTATATTCAGACTCTATGAACAACTAAACAAAAGAAAAAGAAAGAAAAGAAAAAAGATAGGCAACCCAATAGAAAATGGGCAAAAGATCTAAACAGACACTTGGTGAAAGAGGAGATCCAAACAGCCAATCAATATATGAAAAAGTGCTCACTGCACTCCAGCCTGGGTGACAGAGCGAGACTCTGTCTCAAAAAAAAAAAAAAAAGTGCTCAACTTCTTTAGTAATTAAGCATATGCAAAGTAAAACTACATTCCTCTCCAACTTACCAGCTCCCACCCTCCCACTCCACAATAATGAAAAGTTTGAGAACATCAAGTGCTGGCAAAGATAAATTTTCAGAAGCTGCTGGTGTTACAACCAACTCTTGAAACAGTTTGGCATCAGAAAAGTGACGGTACATAAACTTTTGACCAGATATTCCACTTCCATGTATAGAACCCTTGAAAAAAAGTTATCATATATGTACCAGAATTCCTGCACACACACACAAATGTTATTTGAAGCATTGTTAACATATTCCCAGACCAGAAACAACTCAAGTGTCCTTTGACAGTAGGGCAGATAATCTGTGATCTTTCATTTAATGAAGAATCATATAGAAACAAAAAAAAAGATGACCTTAAGTTTACATGTAACCATATAAATGAATCCCACAATGTTGCCTTAGAGAAGCAAGATGCAAAAACAAACAAAACACACACACACACACACACAGTGTGATTCTAACTATAGGGTTTTAAAAAATGGGTAAATGGCGGGGCACAGTGGCTCATGCCTATAATTCTAGCACTTTGAGAGGCCAAGGTGGGAGAATCACTTGAGCCCAGGAGTTTGAGACCAGACTGGGCAACATAGTGAGACCCCATCTCTACAAAAAAACTTAAAAAATTTTTAATGGGTAAAATTAAAGTATATTGCTTAGAAATATGTATACCTAAAGGCTAAAATGTAAAAAAGCAAGAATGGGTTATCACAGAAGTCAGAATAATGTTTACGTCTATGTGAGAGGAAGAGGACTGTAACTGGGGAGGAGGTGGGGGGAGTTTTGGAGGAATGACGCTATTCTACTTTTTGACCAAAGTAGTGGTTATAAGGGATATAAGGCTATAAAGAATTGCTTTCTAATTATTCTGTAAGATATATATGTTTTATGTTCTTTCTGTTTGAAAATTACCTCACTATAAAAAAGTAAAAAAAAAAAAAACTACTTCTAAAATCATATTACTTAATCTTGAATAAATATTGCTATTTTTGCCACTGATACTTTTCAGCAGAAATTGAGTAAATCAATGTGATAAATGAGGCTGGTAAAATATGACCACACACAATGTGAGGCTAGTAAAACATAGCCTCACATGATGTTTCATTTTGCTGCTAAAAATTCCCTATATTTGTGGAATCAGATAAATATTTAATTTTTTTTTAATTTCTAGGTTGGCTCATTACAAGCATGCTTTCTTGCAAAGAGGAATTTCCAGATTGATGTATATGAAGCTAGGGAAGGTACGTCCATGGTGAAAAAAGCAGGATGAACGCTGGGCACGGTGGCTCCTGGCACTTTGGGAGGCCAGGGCACATGGATCGCTTGAGGCCGGGAGTTTGAGACCAGCCTGGGCAACATGGCAAAACCCCATCTCTACAAAAAATACAAAAATTAGCCTGGTGTGGTGGTGTGTGGTAGGAGGATTGCTTGGACCCAGGAGGCGGAGGTTGCAGTGAGGCGAGATCATGCCACTGTGCTCCAGCCTGGGTGAAAGGGCAAGACCCAAAGAAAGAGAGAGAAAGAGAGAGAGAGAGAAAGAAAAGGAAGAAAGAAAGAAAGAAAGAAAGAAAGAAAGAAAGAAAGAAAGAAAGAAAGAAAGAAAGAAAGAAAGGAAGGAAGAAAGAAAGAAAGGAGAAAGAGCAAGAAAGAAAGAGAGAAAGAGCAAGAAAGAAAGATGAAAAGAAAGAAAGAAAGATAGAAGGAAAGAAAGATAGAAAGAAAGAAAAAGAATTGCAGGATGTGGTTCTAATTCTTTGACTTTTCTTTAGATTTTCTGAACTTAAAAAGTTTCTTTAATAAAACGCTTTTCTTAAAAAAACTAGTTTTGTTTAAAAAAAAACACCAACTATCTAAATTTAATTTAATATAAAGTTACTGCTATTAGCATTTTCTTTAGAAGAGTTAAGAAGTTCTTTAATGTGGTTCCGAATGAACCAGTTGTTCAGATGCAGTAATTTTGCTCATCCTGAGCTAGGATATAAAGTGTGCGTAACATGGAGTCTGCTTCCAATGTCTCAGATACTCGAGTGGCTACCTTCACACGTGGAAGAAGCATTAACTTAGCCCTTTCTCATAGAGGACGACAAGCCTTGAAAGCTGTTGGCCTGGAAGATCAGGTACTTAATGTATCTTTCTTACAGAAGATAATACCTGGTATTTTTCAACAATTGCATGGTTTGATTTCATCCTGGCTTAAAAAGTACCATTTAATACCAAGAATCTCTGCATGAAAACTCATTCTACTAAAGCTTTTAAAATTCGAAATTTGGCAAGAGGGTGAACATTGGACACTCGAGGCACCCGAGGAGGACCCTGCAACCGGATGATTGCTTCTGATATTGGGTTCTCAACAGGATGGTGCGTCACTGCCTGTAGAAAGTGAGAGTCAAGATGGCATCCAGGATAAAAGGAGCCAGATTCCTTTTTTTTTTCAATTGCACAGGCCCGTAATATCTTATCTACAATTCTATACTCCAAAAAGACTCTGAAAATAGAAAGCTTCTCATCACTCATTGAGTAGCAAAATCTGACTTGACATGAGACTCTTTGTAGTCTTTTAAAAATCTCATTTAGCATAAATATGTTTTGCTACAGAAATTTTGTGTTTGATTATGGGGCGGGTTTATGTGATATCCAGCATATGTGTACTACACTACTTTCTAAAATTGAAAAATTCTGAATTCTGAAACCATCAGGCCCCATGGGTTTGGATAAAGAATGGTGGGCCTGTAGTAGATTTTCATCATGTGAGCTTAATGTTGTAGAACTTTTCACTGTCTATGTTAGCTTGGTAATATAAACAGACATGATAGATGTATTTTTCTTGATACTACTTTCAGTGACAATGTGTCTTTGAGCTGACAGTACTAGCAAATATGAGTGCTATTTGCATTCCTATTATTTTCTCCCAGATAGCAGCAGTCATGTGTAAGAAAACACTTTGCATTGAATGTTAGGAACCCTGGGTTTTACTCCTCATAATCTCCCTTTTTGTCATGATGAGAAAATCACTTAACCTCTGTAACAACAAATCACTTCCCTCAATCTGTGATATTCGATTTAGATCAGATAAATTTTAAGCCGGTTCTAAGATCTAAGATTAAAAAAACAAACTAAAAGCTTCAGGATCACCATTTTCATTGAAGGAGTTTCTACCACGTTGGGCTTCTATGGTCTTTCACAATTTTTAAAATTTCTTGGAGAATATATGAAATTACATTTAAAAATCAACTTCTATCTTTCTTGCATAATGCCATGTTACTGTCATTGAAGTCAATATTTCTGGTTTCATTTCAGATTGTATCCCAAGGTATTCCCATGAGAGCAAGAATGATCCACTCTCTTTCAGGAAAAAAGTCTGCAATTCCCTATGGGACAAAGTCTCAGGTAGGTTTACCCCGGAGATCATTGTGCATTGATTATAAGGAAGTCAAAGTCTGGAACTTGCCTCTTGTTTGATGGCCCCTCTCTCTCCAGCCCTATCTCTGACATTGCTTGGCTCAGTCTAGACCCCAGGAATACAGATACTAGTTGGCAAGTTTATTCAGAGGAGATGCTCAAAACAAGCCCCAGCCCAGAATAAACATTCAGGAAGAATTAGCTGTTACTGCTCTTATTGTGTCATTTCTTGCCTTTGCGCTGCCCTGCTACCTGGGACAGCCTTTCCTTCTTTTCTCCTTTTCAATTAGGTAGAGAAGATGACTATCTTATTTGTCGTCAAGCATAATGTACAAGAACAATCTAGAAGGTTTCATGATGTTGTTGCCCTTCCCTAACTCACCCTCTTGCTCAAAATTGGGCTTATAATAGAATGTATGGAATGATCCAGAAATGCTTTGAGTACTACATGATTTCTAAAAGAACAGAGGCCAGATGAAGATGGAGAGTTTATGAAAGGAGACTCATTATCCTGCTCTGTGCTTTCCCTATCTTTCACACAGTAACACACAGAACAGGGGGAAATATGTATTTGTATTTTATCTAATTAGACCTTCTGATTCTGTTTCTTGAGAGAGAATGAATGCACCAAACATCCATCGACAACAGAAAAACTCCAACTTCCTTTATTTTTATCCAGCCATGCCTCCTTTTATGAAGTGCAGCGTCTGAGTGAGAATTCATATTCTTCTAAGTCTCTGACCCTCAGCAGAGCTCTCATTGAAACTAGACCTGTGCTTCTCATACTCACCCGGGATCCTGTTAAAATGCAGTCTGATTCATTAGGACTGGGGTGGAGGCGGAGGTTCTACGTTTCTAACGAGCTTCCGGGTGTTTACTTCTTTCACTGAGTTGAGAGTGAAATCAACGTAATCGTCTCACTGTTCACTTGTATTAACAAGGAATGTCCTGAGGAAGGCCAAGTCATCATAGCCGCCCCCGCTTCAGAGACTGAACCAGTAATGTATCCATAGATAAGATACGGTTCAAATATCAGAAAAGCTAAATGAGGAGAGGGACTTGGAGATGACACCATCACCCCACCACCTTGTCTGTGTGTGTGTGAGTGTGAGTGTGTGTGAGAGAGAGAGAGAGAGAGAGAGAAAGAGCGTGCATACATTCCCCAAGAGAGTGAAAGCGTTGGTGTGAGTTCCCTTTTTGCGGCCTTCAATGCATTACAAGGAGGAAACGGCCCCTCCCGCATCATTCCTGCTACTTCTCAATTCTTAAGAACTCAGTTTATGCAAAATTTATAGGGGCCCCACATACTTCAGTTTTTCTTTATCGTCACTTTTATATCTCAGTCAAATATGGCGGCCTCCTTGCCCTTTAAGAACTGCATAAAATTGCTTTACCTGGTCAGTTCCACAGCCTGTGGGAGCACAAAGCCATTCCCATGACTCCGGGATTTCTTCACATCCCCGGGAGCCCACCTTCTCTTGGCCTCCTTTGCCTCTTGGTACCCCACTCCCTCTCACCTGGTATTGGCCGTGTACCATGGTGGTCCGGATTTGAAATATATCTCCTCCACCAATTCCCACAGACAACACTCACTCAAAAGATGCATGGGTCTGCTGAAGACCTACGGGTCATGAAGAGACCTCGTTGTGGATGGCACGGGCGATAATTTAGAAATCTCTAATCTGCAAATTTTGACCTCCAAAATCCTTTCTGACTCCCTTCCCTGGCCTCCCTCCTTCAGCTGTTTTTTCTTTTGAACTTTCTCCAATGTGATGTCCAGATTCTTCTTGTCTTGCTGGGTCCTCCCATCTTCTCCCCAAATTGCCCTGGAAACTGTCAAAATATTCTCTAATATACAGAGCAGGTCAGAGCTCCTCAGTTCTTAATCCTAACCTAACCTCTTATGCTCAAAATAGAGAAATGGCTCCCCCTTAGTAGAAAACATTCTCATTTGAAGGTATTGAGAATAGATAAAATAAACTTTTTTTCTAATATGTCTGAGGTAGTCAGTACTACAACTAATGTCTTACAGATCTCCAAAGGATATATCTAACCTTTTTTAGGTTTTACTATTATCTTTTTGGTTACAGAGGCCACTTTATAGCGCTTGACTTGTTTATTCTTATTTATTCTTCATCAGATCAATCTTGTAGAATTAAATATTGGAGAAGTAAGACTTGATGGGAACGACTCAAATATTTGGTTATGATATAATACTGTCCAAAGATATGGAGTAGACTAGAAAGGGACATTCTGGTGTTCCTGCAGGGATGACAAGTCTATCAGTTCCCAGATGACTGATGTGGAAAGAAAATATTTTCCCCATGTAAATTAATCTTCATAATTTGGGCCAAGCACAGTGGCTGACACCTGTAATCCCAGAACTTTGGGAGGCCAAGGTAGGTGGATTGCTTGAGCCCAGGAGTTCAAAACCAGCCTGGGCAACATGGCAAGACCCTGTTTCTATAAAAAAATTTAAAAATTAGCCGGGCATGGTGGCATGGGCCTGTACTCCCAGCAACTTGGGAGACTTAAGGTGGGAAGATCGCTTGAGCCCGGGAGGTTGAGGCTGCAGTGAGCCATGATCACACCACTACACTCCAGCCTGGGGAACAGCAAGACCCTGTCTCAAAAATTTTTTAAAAAATTAAAAATTAAAAAAGCTTTATAATTTGAATGTTTCCTAACATAATTTAAATAGCAAGTTTGATTTCTGTTGAAATACAGTCTATTAATAACCTAGCTTTGAGGCAGAGAATGAAGATGTTTCTGTTCATTTTAAATTATACAAAGACCAGAATTTCCTCTTCAGTCATTGCCACTGACCAAGTTATTTTTACACCAAGTATAGATTTAGCTGCCAATGTATACTTCTACTTTTGGATGAGGTGAAGATTTATAAATTAGTGTATATGTGTTAAAAATATTTGTTATGTCCCATAATTTGGAAAATTATATGCTTTAAAGTTTTAAAGAATAGATTCACCCTGAATTACCAGCTTGCATTATGACTTTAATGGGCCCCAGGTGGGCACTTTGGCCTCCATGGGCTCCTTTTCTAGAAAAAGGATAAATATTAAAAATTAGATTTTATGGGTTCATTGGTATAAAGATTAATAAAATCCAGGCCAGATTTATTATTACATATTTTTTATTACATAATACTTTTCTTTCCTTCCTTCCTTCCTTCCTTCCTTCCTTCCTTCCTTCCTTCCTTCCTTCCTTCCTCCCTTCTTTCTTTCTAGACAGAGTCTCACTCACTCTGTCATCCAGGCTGAAGTGCAGTAATGTGATCTCGGCTCACTGCAACTTAGGCCTCTCGGGTTCAAGCAGTCCTGCCTCAGCTTCCTGTGACTACAGGCACGCGCCACCAGACCCGGCTTGTTTTTGTATTTTTAGTAGAGACGGGGTTTCGCCATGTTGGCCAGGCTGGTCTTAAACTCCTGACCTCAAGTGATCAGCTTGCCTCAGCCTCACAAAGTGCTGGGATTACAGGGATAAGCCACCATGCCTGGCCACTTTTTTCCTCCTGATTTAAAAATAAACTAAAATCAAAACATTTTTACAATACGTTTAAGAGTCCATAAAAATGTTTTGATTTTAGTTTATTTTTAAGTCAGGAGGAAAAAAGTGGCCGGGCGCTGTGGCTCATCCCTGTAATCCCAGCACTTTGGGTGGCCAAGGTCGGTGGATCACCTGAGGTTAGAAGTTCGAGACCAGGCTGGCCAACATGGCAAAACCCCATTTCTACTAAAAATACAAAAAAAAAAAAAAAATTAGCTGAGTGTGGTGGCAGGCACCTGTAATCCCAGCTAGTTGGGAAGCTGAGGCAGGAGAATCACTTGAACCTGGAAGGTGGAGGTTGCAGTGAGCTGAGATCTCACCATTGCACTCCAACCTGGGCAACAGAGCAAGACTCTGTTTCAAAAAAAAAAAAAAGTATTGTACGCCCATAGGCGCTGTGTCTACCTTGCCTCAAGGGAGGGTCAGCTTTGCTGAATTGTCCTATAAAGTCAGAAACAACCAACACATGTTCCATGCAAGGACTGGTCCTATTCCTATCAATCTTCATCCCTGCCACAACCAACACACACACACACGCGTGCACACACACACACTTTTTACATTGAAATGAAATCCTTCAAAGTTGTCTCTTCAGGAAATAGCACTTTGATTCTAGTGATACTGTCATGACTGAAGTTTTTCTAAGAGCTAAATTTGGAGACCTAAGCTGAAAATATTACATTTATGATTTGTTTTTAAAACAGAACTCTCTTGATGAAAATTATATTTTAGCTACAAGAGAAGGATTTGATTTTTAAAGTATTAAACTTTGAAAAAGCCTAAGTGTAAACTTGGATATTGTATTATATGTGTTTGTTTAAAGTGATCTTTTTTAACAAAAAAATCAAAGGTCACTTAGCGAAATGGTTATAAAACTAAGCTTGCAACCCTCTGCTAAATAATAAATATGTTTTATTGCTGAGTGAATAACTTAGAATTATATTTGTCCATTCACCAGAAACAAACAGTATCTACTCTACTTTTCTTGCAGTATATTCTTTCTGTAAGCAGAGAAAATCTAAACAAGGATCTATTGACTGGTAAGTCTAATGTTTGATTCATCAGTTGTCATTTTGAGTAAAGCACATGACACTAATCTTGTCATATGATTTATTGGATTTGTTTGCTGCTCCTTTTTATGGGTTATGAAGAGCAAGACTATGTACACTACAAAGTCCTTCTTGAAGCTAGGTCTGATAGCTCATGCCTGTAATCCCAGCACTCTGAAAGGCTGAGGCCAGGATCGCTTGAGTCCAGGAATTTGAGACCCGCCTGGGCAACATGGAGAGACGCTATCACTACAAAGAATAAAAAATTAGCTGGGTGTAGAAGCGTGTACCTATAGTCCCAGCTACTCAAGAGCCTGAGGTGGAAGGATCACTTGAGCCAGGGAGGTCGAGGCTACAGTGAGATATGAGTGATGTGATTGTGCCACTGCACTCCCAGCCTGGGCAACAGAGTGAGACCCTGTCTCAAAAAAAGAAATAAATAAATGAAGTCCTTCTTGAAAATATCAATTGCCTAAAGTTTTTAGAGACGAAGTCTTGCTGTCACCCAGACTGATGTGCCATGGTGCAATCATGGCTCACTGTAACTTCGAAATCCTGTGCTCAAGCTATCTTCCCACCTTGGCCACCCGAGAAGCTGGGACTACAGGCACATGCTACCACATACGACCAATTTTTTTACATTTTTTTTAAAGGCAGAGTCTTTCTATGTTGTCCAGGTTGGTCTTGAACTCCTGGCTCAAGTGATTCTCCCACCTCAGACTCCAGAGTAGCTGGGATTACAGGTGCTAGCACCCACTTCACTGACAATTCTCTGAATTGAAATCATTTGTTCAACATATACTGAATCCCTATGGTCTCCTAGGCACTGAGTGAATGAGTGTTCACGCTGATGAAGAACTCACACTCTAATGGAACGACAGATAAACTCAAACAATTTGCAAAGTGACACAATTAGATTTGCCTTTTGGGCCAGGCGTGGTGGCTCACGCCTGTAATCCCAGCACATTGGGAGGCCGAGGCAGGCGGATCACAAGGTCAGGAGTTTGAGACCAGCCTGGCCAATATGGTGAAACCCTGTATCTACTAAAAATACAAAAAGAAAAAAAAAATTAGCTGAGCGTGGTGGCACATGCCGGTAATCCCAGCTACTCGGGAGGCTGAGGCAGGAGAATTGCTTGAACCCAGGAGGCGGAGGTTGCAGTGAGCCGAGATCATGCCACTGCCCTCCAGCCTGGCTGACAGAGCGAGACTCAGTCCCAATAAAATAATAATAATAATAATAATAATAAAGATTTGTCTTTTAGAGAGATGAAAAGCCATAGTGTGAAGACTGAGAAAGGGTTGCAATCTTCAAGGCATTTCCATAATCTCTGGGCACAGAAGGGCCCAAGAATAAAGCTATAGTAATGTGGCTGGAGAGTAGAGTGTAGATTCATGATATTTGTAAGAGAACAAATCGAGAGATAGGGGATATAGAAAGTTGAGAAAGAGAAAGGTGTAAATAGAACCCTGAAGTTGTGAATTTGTGTAACTAAAAAAAGCCTACGTGTTCATGGAAAAGCCACTGGATTACAAATTAAATTTGTGGTTTGCGTAGTTGATCCAGTCACACACCATGTATCCCTTACTAAGTCTAAGCCTACACTGTAGTTGCTTTTCCTCCCTTCAGCATTTGCATTCAACGGATTTATTCCCAGCAAAGCATGCCACTTAATATTTCTACTATCTTTTAAACTAGTCCCTCGTGATGGAGCCCAGTAGACTCTGATTTTTAAACAGAGACTGTACATGATTTATCTTTGTTTCTCCACAATCTCCTCAATATATCTACTGAATGTAATTGAACGTAATGGGATTCAACTGGGAGGAGGAGGCCTATGAGGAATTTCACTTTAGTTGATTCACCAGATACAAGAAAGAGGGTTTAGTATTATTATTAATTGTATTTCCTTAGTTATATTTGTCAGACTGCCTTTTGGATGGATAGATGGGTGGAGTGGAGCCAGTTTGCTAGGTATATTCAGGTTGATCTCAAGAAAGCAAATGAACCAGCCGGGTGCGGTGGCTCACATCTGTAATCCCAGCACCTTGGTAGGCTGAGGAGGGAGGATGGCTCGAGCCCAGGAGTATAATTGCATCACTGCATTCCAGCCCTGGTCCACAGAGCAAGACATCAACTCTAAAAAATCAAAACAAAACAACAACAAGAAAACTCCACAAAACAGCTTTTACAAAAAGCAGTACAGCAGACCTATGACACTGTCTTTCAAAAATCCTCTCAATCTATCAAGATAAAACTAATAGCAAACATTCATCGAAGCACCAAGCTGTATCTTAAGTGTTTTACATGCATAGATTTGCATAACCCTTTCAACAACTCTATGAGGGGGAAATTACTTTTATTTCCGTTTTATAGATGGTGAAATGGAGGCTTAGAGAGCTTGGATCACACTGTTAGTAAGTGGTAGAATCTGGATTTAAATCTGAGTCTGTTTATTCCAAAGCCCATGCTTTTAATTATTATGACTTCTGCCTCCAATATTATATATAAAACATCTGCTAATACTAAGGAACTTAAAACATGGGAAAGGTACAATCTTGGTGTACACACCAGAAGTTCCCCAAATTGTCTTTCACTAGGAATGTGCTGCATGGCACACAATTTCATAAATGCCATAAATACATCAATAAAATGAACGCTGAATCTCTTCACTCTTAAACTTTGTTGGGCATATAAAGTTCATTCTTTCTTTACGAGGCATCAAATGTGGGAGGTTTTCATTCCACACATTTAATCAATTGTAAATTCTCATTTCTCCCTAACTGCACAAACTCCTCTCTGAAAACATTGTTGCTACATGATTTCCCTACGTCGGCATTTCATGCGGGATTGTTTCACGGTTCATCTGCTATTCTGTGAGATGTTAATAATTATTAAGCCAAAGCAAACAGACAAAGGATGTGTGGCCAAATAAGTCTGACAAACCTTGCATCAAACAAGTTTTCAGTCTTTTTTCTTATAGTACTTCTCAGGGCTTTTATTATATTCTTGGTCTGCATTGTGGATCTTCCAGAGCAGCACAGTCCAACATGTGGCCACAAATACCAGGCACGTGTATACTTTTCCAATTTATGCTAACCATGTTAAAAAAAAAAAAAAGCAGCAGGTGGTGTTATGTTTAATAAGATATTTTAACCTAGGCCAGGCGCAGTGGCTCACACCTGTAATCCCAGCACTTTGGGAGGCCGAAGGGGGTGGATCACCTGAGGCCAGGAGTTGGAGACCAGCCTGGTGAACATGGTGAAACCCTATCTCTACTAAAAATATAAAAATTAGCTGGGCGTGTTGGTGGGCGCCTGTAATCCCAGTTACTCAGGAGAATCTCTGGAATCCTGGAGGCGGAGGCTGCAGTGAGCTGAGATCATGCCATTGCACTCCATCCTGGGCGACAAGAGTGAAACTCTGTCTCAAAAAAAAAAAAAAGATATTTTAACCTAATATATCCAAAATATTATTTCAATATGTAATCAATATCAGAAAGTTATTCACTGTCATTCTTTTTATATATACTTGTTCTAATTTGCCAAAATCCCATACAGGCAACACATCTCAATTTAGGATAGCCACACTCCAAGTACTCAAACACTACCTGTGGCTGGACACCAGGGCAGCATAGCCCAAGACAGAGTATTCAGCATTACTCTAGTCTTTGGCAATGGAACAGTTTTTTTAGGGAGTATATCCCAGGAGTAACGTTCTACAAAAAATTATTTAGGATGCAAAATACTATATACTTATGTAAAAAATAAACATAATTTTTTAAAAGTTTTTTTCACAAACACATGTTATGTTTCTAAAATATATCCTTAGTATATCAGGTCAATTCTGATTACTTCAAAGTTATTTGCCAAACTACTTCTTCTACATAGATGAATTTCTTTGGTTTAGGGTCTCTCAGATTTTGCAAGAAAGTTAAAATCTTCAAACCCCAAATCAAACTGAAACAAAAAAGAGTAAAATAAGACAAGATTGAGATGAAGAGAGGAGATAAGTACAGGCAGGAATAGAACTCCTGCCTTATTTTCCCCATTTTTTTCAAATTCAACATTCTTTTTATTTACGTTTTTGACATATAAAAACTGTACATAATTAATGTGTACAACTTGATGAGTTTGGTCCTTAATTTTTTCACTTTGTGTGATCTCAGGCATTTTACCTTTACTTCCAGAATCTTAGTTACTCCTTTTTTAAGATGAAGGATTTTGAACTAAATCATCTCTGAAGTCTATTCCAGCTCTAACACCTGTATTCTGATTTATACCTTTAAGAACAATAAATAGGCTATATTTATAGATGAATACATGAGCATTAATAGGGACAAAATCACATTTTACTGTTGTAACAAGGGCATAATTAATAGTTCATAAATTGAAATTCACTCAATTCTCTAGAGTGCTAGCAGGCAAAACAGAAAATTACGAAAATAATTTGTTTCAGTTTATTGAGAGGTTTCAAAGCTTCTTACTCATTTTCCCCCTAACTATTCCAGTGTTTGATTTCAAAGAGATTTAAAATCAACAATCTCTATTTGTGACAACTTCAATCAGAATTCCAGAAAACTAGCTAAAAAGAGATATAGAGACATGCGTAATATGAGGAAAGGAGTTTGACTGAATATTTCCAGTCACAACAAAGCCTCGGATTAGAGGCGACTTCTGAAATATGTGATGCTTGCTTCTTTCCCAGGGTGCTAATAATTACAGCAATGCAAGAGTTTGCACAATGGAATCAGTTGGATGTTTTCTTTTTGAGATGAGGATAATTGATTTTTATTCATCTGTTTTACTACCAAATTATACTGAAATAGTTACCAAACAGTTGTCAAATTACCATTTAAGTGAACTTATTTTTACATTGTTATGAATAAAATTCTCTACCATACTGTTCCCAGAAAACAATTACTATTTCAATTTGATTAAGTGAAGTAAGAATTGAGATTTCATTTCTGTTTGCCTCTTTCTCCATTTCCTCAGCTGCTGAGAAATACCCCAATGTGAAAATGCACTTTAACCACAGGCTGTTGAAATGTAATCCAGAGGAAGGAATGATCACAGTGCTTGGGTAACTACGGGTCAGGTTTTGGACTTCAGAGGTGAAAGCTGGGAGTGGAGAATTGTATCTGCAAACTTTGTTCTTTGGCTCTTTTGAAAGAGTTAAAAGATTATTGAAAGGATCATCCAAATAGTTTCTAGATTCAAGGAATTTTAGATTGCAAATAGGCCCTGATGGCCATCTGAACACCAATGCCAATAATTCTTAATTCTCACACTTGCTCACCTTCCTACTGTACTGTATTCCACACTGGTGACTCTAATGTGCTTCAAACTCTCTCCTCTCTCAAATATACGTGACCCTCCACTGCTCTCCTCCTGTTCTCTTTCCAGGTGCTATTTCTCTGCCTTTCCTTGGATGATTCTATTTCCTCTAAGGTTCCAAGCCTCATATCCCACTCTTGCGATATGCTATGGATCCACGCTCATGGGTTCAACAACCACATCTCTAAGATGAACATTTCCAGTCCAAGCCTCTTTCTTCATTCTAAATCCTTATAGAAGCTCAAATCAATTTATGTTAACTTCTCATCAAACATCCTTGCTGGAACATCTTGCCATTATCTCAAACATATCTAAAACCTTGATCACCTACTTCTCCCAAATCACATCCCATTCCTGACTTCCCCAGAACTAATGCCTGAATAATTTGAATCATTCATGATGTGTTCTTTCCCCTGTCCTCTCCCATTAAATCTATAACACTCCCCAGTCTATCCTACTTTCTACTGGCTTCAGAGTCTGTCTTCCTCCTTCTAGCTGCAGGACAGTACTTCCGGCTCTCATTCCTGCACATGTAATATAATGTGTTGCCATCACCTCATCCCTGTTTTCTGCTCCCTTTGGCATTCGGCCTTCTCTTCAAACTGCCAAGGAAGTTTTCTTAAATTGCAACTCTTCATACATCATTCCCCTAATAGATAATTTCAGTTTCCCTTTTGCCAGAATAATGTTTTAAAATCTTTTATCTTGACATTCAAGATTCTCTTCTTTTCCCCTTCCTTTCTCTCCCTACCTTGTATTCTTTTCTTAAGCTTTTCTTCTAATACCTGTGCTCAAGACAAATGTATTGTTCTTAGAAAATCCTGTGGTTGTTCATACATTCATTCGTACACTTGGAACACTTGCCCTGTTTTCAAGATTCTCCTCCTTCATGCAGAAATCTCAAATCCTGTCACACTTCTGTGGCCTACCAAGTCTTTATTAATCAATATGGTGTTGTGCTATTCTCATAAGCAAACTTATGACTGGGACAAGTGTTTTCATCTAAATGTTACATCTATTAACTCAAAGCTCCAAGTCAAACATGTGAAAGTGAGCTTTCTAAGTTATCTATGGAGCCACTACTTCTCATACCCAGAGGTACATCATCATTTTCACCACTAGACATATTTTTCTTTTGGATGTTTTGTTCTATTTTTCAGATCTGACAAAGTTCCCAAAGATGTCACTTGTGACCTCATTGTAGGATGTGATGGAGCCTATTCAACTGTCAGATCTCACCTGATGAAGAAACCTCGCTTTGATTACAGTCAGCAGTACATTCCTCATGGGTACATGGAGTTGACTATTCCACCTAAGAACGGAGATGTAAGTCCTTGCCCTTTTTCAACCCCTTCCCACAACCCTTGCTCCATGAGCGCGAATGCGTATTCTAGTGCAGTGGTTCTCAGCAGCATGTCTTGATCCATTTTGAGGCCTATCACAAGAACTTTGTAATGAAGAATAAATGGGATGCATGGGTATCTTTTTAACAGCACGATTCTCAGTCCTTCCTTGTTTGATATGCTTTCTGGAGTGAAAAAGAAAGGAGCAGTCTGGGCACAGTGGCTCATGCCTGTAATCCCAGCAATTTGGGAGGCCAAGGCAGGAGGATCGCTTGAACCCAAGATATCAAGACCAACCTGGGCCACATAGGGAGACTCTGTCTCTGTAAAAAATACAAAAATTAGCCAGGGATGTGGCACACGCCTGTGGTCCCAGCTACTCGTGAGGCTGAGGTGGAAGGATTGCTTGAGCCCAGGAGGTCAAGGCTGCAGTGAGCCGAGATCATGCCAATGCACTCTATCCTGAGCAACATAGCCCAATCCTGTCTTGAAAGAAGGAAGGAAGGAAGGAAAGAAGGAAGGAAGGAAGGAAGGAAGGAAGGAAGGAAGGAAGGAAGGAAGGAAGGAAAGAAGGAAGGAAGGAAGGAAGGAGACGGGAAGGGAAGGGAAGGGAAGGGAGAAGTTACAACCCTCTTACTGGAAACACATAAAGGATTTAAATAATATCGTTTGTCTATGTTCTCTTGGGAGAAAAAAACAGGTTGATGATGAATCCTTCAGTATACTGACAATCCAGAGTTCTTATAACCATGATTAAATCAAATAATAGTTATTAAATAAAATGACTAGAAAATTGTTGTAAAGTGATTTCTATTGTGTTTTTCTCATTTCCTGGTTAAACCATATGTGACTGGAGGCAAATAAGTGGTATGTAATGTTTTCATGTTGTCATAAGCAAATAAGTGTAGGAACTTGTTAAGAAAAAATTGCTAACAGAAACAATAAGGATATTGGCTTATAAGTATGGATATGCAAACAACATTAAATACTTGATTTGCATATAAAGCATACATTTTTAAGATGCTGATTTAATCTATCCTCTTAAATCCAGACAAGGGTAAAACAGCTAGTCAATATGGGATAGTGTTGTTAAATACTAAATATCAGCCAGTAAAATCCATATTTTCACATTTCATTACCTTTCTGTTTCATCCTCATGGTCAAAATGTATTCGCTAATTTTTTAGTGCTTATTGTACTGGTTTTCAGATAGCTTCTGCTCTCATGGCCCAGAATCTGATAACTCTGGATATAGGATAACAGAATTCTGTTGAAAAATTGTTCCAGACTTAAGAAGAACTGTGCTTGCTAAAGTAGATTTAAGAAAGCCCTTTATTTTCTAGGTATACATAATAAATAGTAATAATTGATGGTTTTAAAAAATGTCTCCACTCTTTTAAGAACATTGTTTAGGCATGGCAATGTGACTCAGACATGGGAGCATTTTGACATGGTCCAAAAACAAGCTTATGAGACTTTCTCTATTTTTCTTTGTGTCTTTTTTTTCTTTTGTTCTTCATGTAATGTGTGAAATAGACACTTGCACTCTTCTGATGGTTGGAGTTGGGGGCAAGAGATTGGGTAAATGGCTTTCTACCACTAGTATTACTGTTAAAGCGAAGTAATTGCTTTTCATATGTATTCCTCTTGCCTATTGGACTGCACTGTAAGGTCAAGAGTTATGCACGTACTCATTTCTGTGTCTGTGTGTTGGGCTTTCTTTGGGAGTCTGAGGCTAAAAAAACAAGGAAGACACAGTCCCTTCACCTAAGACACAAATAACTATGATACAGTGTAAAAATGTTAGCTCCAAGACTATGCTGTTTTTTTGGTATTCTTACTCTGTAAGCTATACATGGAAGGTGCTCTCAAAACATCTGTAGAAAATAATACAAATATGAAATAATTGGAAAGTTGATTGCATATTTCTATGTATATAATACCCCTGGGAACCTTCAAAAATGTGCGTCACTTGGGTCTTTGGGTCAATTGATCTACCCAAGCAATTAATACTTATTCAGGCTGTTATTGTATTAATAGTAATTACAGAGGACCCACTAAAGAGATAAGACTCTTCTCTATTATTTATGTTATAGGAAACAAACGATAAGAAGCTTGTTTCTAAAATTTTGGTTTGGCTCATGAAATTTAAATGTAAGACCTTTTTGTCCAGTATAGATAAGTTCTGAAATAAGGCAAAAGATAAAGTAAAAAATATATATATAAATATATAATGTATGTGCATACATTATATATGTGTGCATATACACACATGTACACATCTAGATATGTGCATGTGTGTGTACATATATACCAGGTATAATTATACCAGCTATGATTCAAGATTTGAGAACATAAGATGTTCTCTCTGTCTTTTTCCTTACATATACACACACACGCACGTATTCTGAAATCTTGAAATATACCTGGTATCAAAAACCTACCTAAGGTTGAGTTTATAAAGACAGAACACAAAGTGTTTTCTAAGACAACTTCTATTTTATGTAGCAATAGATGTGCGTATCATCGTGTAGATGCTACTGGTTTTAATTACTGTGGAAACTATTATAAAGCTGAGTCCGTTTTATAGGTTTGCTATATGAATGCACTAATCAATCATATATTCTTTTTTCTGCAGTATGCCATGGAACCTAATTATCTGCATATTTGGCCTAGAAATACCTTTATGATGATTGCACTTCCTAACATGGTAGTATAGAATTTTTTATCAACTGTAATTTTGCATTTGTAATTAATGTTGTTTATTACTTACATTTGTACTTAGAATGTATCTACCTAATTGATCTCTTCATTGTTTAATCCATTTAGTGATTATAGCTTTGAAACTTTGGGATTACTGAGGAAAAATCTGAAGGATTTCCAATTATTTACTTTGGAAAGGAGATTTAACTTACATGAATGGATAACAAGAGTTTATGTGTGGTGGTGCCTGTCATCTCCACTAAAGACAATTTAGGAGGAAACAGCCCTTCCAGTAAAGCCAAAGAGATTTAGGTTATCTATCAGGAAGTGATTCAGCCTTTAAGGTCTGTAGTACATTGGAATACGCATTATCAAAAGAGAGCATGGGGATGGGCGCAGCGGCTCACACCTGTAATACCAGCACTTTGGGAGGCCAAAGCGGGAGGATTGCTTGAGCTCAGGAGTTCAAGACTGATGTGGCCAACATAGCAAGACCTTGCCTCTACTAAAAAAAAAAAAAAAAAAAAAATGCCAGGCATGGTGACACGTGCATCCCCAACTACTCAGGAGGCTGAGGTGGGAGGATTGCTTGAGCCCCGAAGATGGAGGCTGCAGTAAGCCGTGATCATCCCATTGCATTCCAGCCTGGACAACAAAGCAAGACCCTGTTTCAAAAAAAAAGAGAGCATGGCTTTTCTTTCATTAGACCCTAGAGACTTTTTTCCTAGGTAGATATAGCTGTTTCTCTGGTTGGGGTCTTTTTTGTTTCTGTTGGTATCTGTCCTGGGGTCCAGGGCCTAGTAATACAATCCTAAAAGGAAGAAAAAGAGATGTCAAATCTAACCAACCTATTAGTAATTTAAAGACTGTAGGCTGGGCGTGGTGGCTCATGCCTGTAATCCCAGCACTTTGGGAGGCCGAGGTGGGTGGATCACCTGAGGTCAGGAGTTCCAGACCAACCTGCCCAACATGGAGAAACTCTGTCTTTACTAAAAATACAAAAAATTAGCCGGGTGTGGTGGTGGGTGCCTGTAGTCCCAGCTACTCAGGAGGCTAAGGCAGGAGAATCGCTTGAACCTGGGAGGCAGAGGTTGCGGTGAGCTGAGATTGCCCCACAGCACTCCGGCCTGGGCAACAGAGTGAGACTCTATCTCAAAAAGAAAAAGAAAAAAGAGTGTAGTATTTGCTGTGTGAAAATGGAGAGTTTACAATATAGAAATTGTCCGAATAATCAAAGAAGCTGGAGAGCACCCCTGGGACTTTGCAGAGCTTTTCTTTGGGAGCAGGGGAACAAAGTGACAGTGCCTTTCCTGTCTGCTTGGACATTCCTTCCAAAAGCTCCCTGGTCACAGCAAGAAGTCTTGTGATTTCAGGAGCCACCTAGTGCCAGCGTCACTTGGCCCCCATCCCCTTTCACTCTGTTTCTCTTCTTCTCACAGAACAAATCATTCACATGTACTTTGTTCATGCCCTTTGAAGAGTTTGAAAAACTTCTAACCAGTAATGATGTGGTAGATTTCTTCCAGAAATACTTTCCGGATGCCATCCCTCTAATTGGAGAGTAAGTTGCAAGATGTGCCTTTTGCTCCATTTGTTTTAATTATTCCAAATTCAAATAAAGGTTATGCACCTGATTTCAGTTTGGGTTAAACACGATGGATCATGCAGTAACCTGGACAGAAACCTACATTAGAGCAAAAGTCTAAGTGGATATTGTGCTGTGAGCAGGAATTCTGAAAAACACCCTTGACGTGGCCAGTTCCTCCGGGAAAGATGAGCCACCAATGTCCCGAGGCTTTTGGGCATCTTATGCAGGCTCCTCAGGCTCCTTGGGGCTTGGCGTGCCACAGGAACTGGCTGAACTTTTTTCTACTGGTAGATACACAAATCTTTGGCACAGCAGATACATCCGGCAGCCTCAGATCTTGGATCCTACACTTACTAGACACGTAAGCTTTCCCATATTCCACTCGTGGGAAAAGGTTGATAAATAATAGAACCTATCCCAAAGGGTTGTCATGAGGACTAAATGAGATCGTGTCTATAAATCATTCAGCACAAGGCTTAGCGCATATTAAGTTGTCTCTCTAGACACCTCCAATGATGTCTTCATGAAGGCAGCGCAATGCTACAGAGAGCATGCCTTAGTCAGTTCAGTGAGCCATAATAAAACTACCATAGACTCGGTGGCTTATACATGACAGAAATGTATTGCTCGCAGTTCTAAAGGCTGAGAAGTGTAAGATCAAGGCACTAGCAGATTCGGTGTCTGGTGACGCCCCACTTCTTGGTTCATAGATGACAGTCTTTTTACTGTGTCTTCACATGCTGGAAGGGGCATGGGATCTCTCTGGGGTCCCTTTTATAAAAGCACTAATCCCACTAATGGGGGGTCCACTCCCAAGACCTAATCACCACCCAAAGGCCCCATCTCCAAATACCATCACATTGGAGATTAGGATTCCAATATAGGAATGTTAGGGGAGCATAAACATTCAGTCTATAGCAGAGCAAGATTTTCACACTGCTTCTTCCCCTTACCTCCCTGAGTTTCACCTTTAAAATGGGTATCTACCATGGGGCATTTGTGAAAATTAAATGAGCTAATTATGTAAAAGGGATAACCCACTGCTGGCCCATAGCAGGTCTTTTAAAAATTGCTAGTCACTTCCTTCCCTGAAGACTAATTTAGTCTCTATGGATCCCACCTTCTCCAGCTGTGAAGATAAATCTCTGCACACCAGAATTAGACCTTGTGTACTTTCAAACTGGTTTCATGGCTATCTTTTGCCTTTCCAGCCAGATTTAAGATTCTTGAGGCTAGGTACCATTTGTCTACTTAGAGCTTCCTCAACTCTTCTACAGATGCTTTACAAATATTAGGGTTTTTGTTTGTTTTTTATTATAAGCACCATGTTGTACAATAAATCTCTTGAATTTATTCTTCCTGTCTAACTTAAAGTTTGTACCACTTGAACAAATTATTCCCATCCCCCAAATGCTAGTTTTATTACTGTTATCTATTTCCAAATACATAAAGATTCACATTAATTTCAATTTTGGTTTATTGTCTTCTAATCAAATGCACAGTAGCATTTGCTCAATTTTTTATGGAAACCTAAAATACACTGCTGCATTTGAAAATCTCATGGCCCAGGTGCATGATAACAAAGTTTTAATAATATATGATACAGAAATACTTAAATTATTCAAATGCAGCCAAACTTTTATTTTTAATGTGATTAACATTGTTGCAGACCAAGAAGGTAATTAGAATAATGGAATTTTAGGACTGGAAAAACTTCAGTTTTTCCCTTTTCTGTTTTCTTCTTGGCATTCTTGTTTTTCAACAAAACTTCGTGATAGTTAATTTAGTAAACCTGAAAGAATTTAGCAGGATTTAATACCTAATTTGATGTCTTTATATTCGGATTATTTTCCTTTGAAGGAAACTCCTAGTGCAAGATTTCTTCCTGTTGCCTGCCCAGCCCATGATATCTGTAAAGTGCTCTTCATTTCACTTTAAATCTCACTGTGTACTGCTGGGAGATGCAGCTCATGCTATAGTGCCGTTTTTTGGGCAAGGAATGAATGCGGTAAGTTCTTTTTCCCTAGGTAAGTCCCTCAAATACTTCTGGGTCAGTCTCAGCTAACAAGTCTTACGTAAAAAATATGTCTAAGACTATCCCCACATAATCCCTGAAAGCACAATCAATTCAGCAATCATACCAGCTGTGTAGCTAGATTGATCACTCTAATCAGAATTTGGTTTAATCAATCCAGTAATCCATAGTAGAAAAAAGCAGAAAGCATAGCGCACTCATCCCTTGGTATCACCAAGGGATCAGCTCCAGGACCCCTGTGGATACAAAAATCCATGGATGCTCATGTCCCTGTTGTAAAATGGCATAGTTTTTGTATATAACCTACAGAGAATCTCCCGTATCCATTTTTACATCTAATTTTTTAAAATTTTTTAATTATTATGGATATATACTAGTTTTATATATTTATGTGATACATGCAATATTTTGATTCAGGAATACAATGTATATGACCATATCAGGGTAATTAGGGTATCTGTCACCTCAAGCATTTATCATTTCTTTGTATTAGAAACACCCCAAATTCCTCTCTTTTAGTGATTTTAAAATATATAATAAATTATTGTTAACCACATTCACCCTATTGTGATGCCAAATACTAGATCTTATTCATTCTATCTAACTATTTTTGTATCCATTAACTATCTCCACTTTACACTTCCACCCTACTACCATTCCCAGTCTCTGGGGAGCATCATTCTATCTCCATAAGTTTAATTTTTATAGCTCCCTCATATGAGTAAAAAAGAATGTGATAATTTTCTTTATGTGCCTGGTTTATTTCACTAACGTCTTCTGGTTCCATCCATGTTGTTGCAAATGATGGCATTTCATTCTTTTTTTATAGCTGAATAATATTCCATTGTGAATATGTACTACATTTTCCTTATCCATTCATCCATTGATGGACACTTAGGTTGATTCCATATCTTTGCTATTGTGAATAGTGCTGCAATAAACATGGGAGTGCAGATATCTCTTCAATATACTGATGTTCTTTCTTTTTGCATATTTACCCAGCAGTGGGATTGCTGCCATATATGGCAGTTTTATTTTTAGTTTGTTGAGGAACCTCCATGCTGTTTTCCATAGTGGTTGTACTAATTTATACTCCCACCAAACGAGAGTTCCCCTCTGTCCACATTCTCACCAGCATTCGTTATCACTTGTCTTTCAGATCAAAGCCATTATAACTGAAGTGAGATAATATCATTGTATATTTGATTTGCATTTCTCTGATAATTAGTGAAGTTTAGCAATTTTTCATATACCCACTGGCCATTTGTATGTCTTCTTTTGAGAAATGCCTACTCAGATATTATTTTTATTATTTTATTATTTTAATAATCAGGTATTATCTTCTTTGAGAAATGCCGACTCAGATATTATCAATTTTAAAACATCCATTTTTAAATTGGATTATTCGTTATCTTCTGACTGAGTTTGAGCTTCTTATATATTCTGATTATTAATCCCTTGTCAGATGGGTAGTTTGCAAATATTTTACTTTGTTCTGTGGGTTGTCTCTTCACTTTGTTAATTGTTTCTTTTGCTTTGCAGAAACTTTTTTTTAGCTTGATATGATCCCATTTGTCCTATTTA
The DNA here is from genome assembly GCF_000001405.40 of Homo sapiens. Classification (NCBI taxonomy): domain Eukaryota; kingdom Metazoa; phylum Chordata; class Mammalia; order Primates; family Hominidae; genus Homo; species Homo sapiens. Next base: position 241,570,259 of record NC_000001.11, read on the forward strand.
TTTCTGAGTTCTCTATTCTGTTCCAAAGGTCTATGTGTCTGTTTTTTGCTTTGGCTGCCTGTGTTTTTGAGGTCTTACTTAGAAAATTTTTGCCCAGACCACTGTCTTGGACTGTTTCTTCAATGTTTTCCTCTGCTAGTTTCATAGTTTCCACTCTTAGATTTGTCTTTAATCCACTTTCATTTTATTTTTGTATATGGTGAAAGATAGTGGTCTAGTTTCATTCTTCAGCATATGGATATCTAGTTTTCCCAGCACCATTTATTGAAGAGACTGTCTTTTCCCCAATGTGTATGTTCTTGGCACCTTTGCTAAAATTGAGTCAATGCTAAAATTGAATGTGGATATATTACTGGGTTCTCTATTCTGTTCCATTGGTCAATGTGTCTGTCTCTATGCCCGTACCATGATGTTTTGGTTACTTTAGTTTTGTAGTATAATTTGAAGTCAGGTAATGTGATGCCTCCAGTTTTGTTCTTTTTGCTCAGGATGGCTTTGGCTATTCTGTGTCTTTGGTGATTTCATATACATTTTAGGATTATTCTTTCTATTTCTGTGAAGAATGACACTGGTATTTTTATAGGTATTGCATTAAGTCTGTAGATTGCCTTGGGTAATATGGACATTTTAACAATATTGATCCTTCTAATCCATGAGCATGGAATATCTTTCCTTTTTTTGTGTCCTCTTCAATTTCTTTCATCAACGTTTTATAGTTTTCATTGTAGAGATCTTTCACTTCTCTGGTTAATTCCCAGATATCTTACTTTATTTGTAATTATTGTAAATGAGATTACCTTCCTGGTTTCTTTTTCAGATTGTTTACTCTTGGCATATAGAATTGCTATTTATTTTTGTATGTTGATTTTGTATCCTGTAACTTTACTAAATTTGTTTATCAGTTCTAATAGTGTTTTTGGTGGAGTCTTTAGGTTTTTGTAAAACATAAGGTCATATTTTCTGCAAACTAGGATAATTTGACTTCTTCCTTTCCAATTTGGATGTTCTTTATTTCTTTCTCTTGTCTAAATGCTCTGGCTAGGACTTCCAGTACTACATTGCATAAAAATGGTGAAAATGGTTGTTCTTGTCTTGTTCCATATTTTAGAGGAAAGGAAAGATTTTCAGTTTTTCCTCATTTTGTATGATACTAGCTGTGGTGTTGTCATATACAGCTTTTATCATGTTGAGATATATTCCTTCTATACCCAGTTTTTTGAGAATTTTTATCATGAAGGGATGTTGAATTCTACAGAATGCTTTTTCAGCATCAATTGAAATGATCATATGGTTTTTGTCTTTCATTCTGTTGATATGAGGTATCACTTTTATTGATTTGTATTTGTTGAACCATCCTTGCTACCCTGGGATGAATCCTGCTTAATCATAATGACTGATTTTTAATGTGTTATTGAATTTGGTTTGCTTGCATTTTGTTGATAATCTTTGCATCTATGTTTATCAGAGATATTGGCATGCAGTTTCCTTTTTTTGTTACGTCTTTGTCTAGTTTTGGTATTATGGTAAGGCTGGCCTCTTAGAATTAGTTTGGAAGTATTCCTCCTCAATGTTTTGGAATAATTTGAGTAGGATTTATATTAGTTCCTTTTTTTTTTTTTTTTTTTTTGAGATGGAGTCTCGCTCTGTTGCCAGGCTGGAGTGCAGTGGTGCAATCTCTGCCGACTGCAACCTCCACCTCCCGGGTTTAAGCGATTTTCCTGCCACAGCCTCCCCAGTAGCTGGGACTACAGGCACGTGCCACTATGCCCAGCTTATTTTTGGATTTTTAGTAGAGATGTGGTTTCACCATGTTGGCCAGGATGGTCTCGATCACTTGACCTTGTGATCTGCCCACCTCAGCCTTCCAAAGTGCTGAGATTACAGGCATGAGCCACCACGCCCGGGCAATATTAGTTCCTTTTTAAATGTTTTGTAGAATTCAGCAATGAACCCATCAGGTCCTGGGCTTTTCTTTGATGGGAAACTTTTTGTTACTGCTTCTATCTTGTTACTTGTTAATGGTGGAATTTCTTTATGATTCAATCTTGGTAAGTTGGTATGTGTCTAGGACTTTATTCATTTCTTCTAGATTTTCAAATGTATTAGCATGTAGTTGCTCATAATAGTCTCTAATGATCCTTTGAGTTTCTGTGGTATCAGTGTCTCCATTTTGACCTCTGATTTTATTTATTTGAGTCTTCTCTCCCTTTTCTGTGTCTAGCTAAAGGTTTGTTGATTTTGTTTATTTTTTAAAAAACCAACTTTTTGTTTCATTGATCTTTTGTATTATATTTTAGCCTCAAGTTCATTTTTGCTCTGATCTTTATTATTTTTTAAAGAAACTTTAAAAAATTCCTATTGAGATTATTTTCTTTTTAAATTAATGTATATATTTTATTTCAATAGCTTTTGGGGTACAAGTGTTTTTTGGTTACATTAACAAATTATATAGTGGTGAAGTCTGAGATTTTAGTGCATCTGTGACCTGAGTAGAGTACACTGTACCCAATATAGTTTTTTGTCACTCACTCCCCTCTCGTTCACCATTCTGAGTCACCAAAGCCCATTATATTACTCTGCGTTTCTGTACTCATAATTTAGCTCCCACTTATAAGTGAGAACATACAGTATTTGATTTTCTATTCTTGAGTCATTTCACTTAAAATATTGGGCTCCAGCTCCATCCAAGTTGCTGCAAAAATATTATTTCATACTTTTTTACGGTTGAGTAGTATTCCATGGTGTATATATACCACATTTTCTTTATGCACTCATTGGTCAAGGGACACTTAGGTTGGTTCCATATCTTTACAATAGAGAATTGTCCTACAATAAATATACACATGCAAGTGTCTTTTTTGGTATTGGTATTGTTTGTATTTTTGTACAGTTTGTATTTTTTGCTAATTTTTGTAGAGACGTTTTGCCCTGTTGCCCAGGCTGGTTTCGACCTGCTGTGCTCAAGGGATCTGCCCACCTTGGCCTCCCAAAGTCCTAGGATTACAGGCCTGAGCTACTGCGCCCAACCCATTTATTTATTTCTGTTTTAGTTGCATTTGCTTTAGGAGTCTTAGCCATGAATTCTTTGCCTAGGCCAATGTCCAGAGGAGTTTCTCCTAGGTTATATTCTAGAATTTTTATGGTTTCAGGTCTTAGGTTTAAGTCTTTTATCCATCTTGAGTTTATTTTTGTGTAAAGTGAGAGACAGGGATTCAGTTTCATTCTTCTACATGTGGCTATCCAGTTTTCCCAGCACCATTTATTAAATAGGGTGTCCTTGCCTCAATTTATGTTTTTGTATGCTTTATTGAAGATCAGTTGGTTGTACGTACTTGGCTTTATTTCTGGGTTATCTATTCTGTTCCATTGGTCTATCTGTCTACTTGTATATCAATACCATCCTATTTTAGTAACTATAGCCTTGTAGTATAATTTAAGGTCCAGTAATGTGATGCCTCCAGATTTGTTCTTTTTGCTATTTGGGCTCATTTTTTGTCCCCTATGAGCCTTAGAATTGTTTTTGTTTTTTTCTAATTCTGTGAAAAGCGATGTTGGTATTTTGATAGGAATTACATTGAATCTGTATATTGCTTTTGGGTAGTATGGTCATATTAACAATATTGTATCTTCCAATCCATGAACTTGGAATGGGTTTCCATTTGTTTGTGTCATCTATGATTTCTTTCAGCAGTGTTTTGTAGCTCTCTTTTTAGGGATCTTTCACCTCCTTGGTTAAGTATATTCCTAGGTATTTTATTTTATTTTGCAGCTGTGATAAAAGGGAGTAAGCTCTTCATTTGATTCTCAGTTTGGTTGTTGTCAGTGTATAGCAACGCTACTGATTTTTGTACATTGATTTTATAACCTGAGTCTTTAATGAATTCATTTATAAAATCTGGGAGTCTTTTGAATGAGTCTTTAGGGTTTTCTAAGTATACAAACATATCATCAGCAAACATTGATCTTTGGACTTCCTTTTTGTCAATTTGGATGTCCTTCATTTCCTTCTCCTGCCTGATTACTTTCTCTAGGACTTCCAGAACTATGTTGAATAAAAGTGATGAAAATGGGCATCCTTGCCTTGTTTCAGTTCTGAAGGGGAATTCTTCAGATTTTCCCCATTCAGTATGATGTTGGCTGTGGATTCATCATATATGGCTTTTATTATTTTGAGGTTAGTCCCTTCTATGCCTAGTTTGTTGAAGGTTTTCATCATAAAGTGATTCTGGATTTTATAGAATGCTTTTTCTGCAACTGTAGAGATGATCATATGGTTTTTTTTTTAATTCTGTTTATGTGATGTATCACATTTATTGACTTACATATGTTAAACCATTCCTGTATCCCTAGGATGAAATCCACTTGAACATAGTGTATTATCTTTTTGATGTGCTGTTGGATTTGGTTAGCTAGTATGTTGCTGAGGATTTTGCACTGATGTTCATCAGGGATGTTTGTTGGTAGTTTTCTTTCTTTGTTATGTCTTCTCCTTGTTTTGGTATCAGGATGATACTGGCTTCATAGAATGAGTTAGGGAGAATTCCCTCTGTCTCAATCTTTTGGAATAGTTTCAGTAGGATTGGCACCAATTCTTTGAATGTCTGGTAAAATGCAACTGTGAGTCCTTCTGGTCCTGGGCTTTTATTTTTTGTTGACAATTGTTTCGATTACTGATTTAATCTCACTGCTTGTTATTGGTCCATTCAAGGTTTCTATTTCTTCCTTATTTAATCTAGAAGTTTTGTACATGTCTAGAAATTTATCCATTTCCTCTAGGTTTTCCAGTATGTATGCAAAAAGGTGTTCCTAGTAGTCTCAAAAGATCTTTTGTATTTTTGTGGTGTCCATTGTAATGTCTCCAGTTTCATTTCTAATTGAGCTTGTTTGAATCTTCTCTTATATTTTCTTGGTTAAACTAGCTAATGATCTATTGATTTTGATTGTCTTTTCAAAGAATCAACTTTTTGTCTTGTTGATCTTTTGTATTTTTTGTTTCAAATTCATTTAGTTCTCCTCCGATCTTTGTTTATTTCTTTTCTTCTGCTGACTTTGGGTTTAGTTTGTTCTTGTGTCTCTAGTTCCTTGAGGTGTCACATGATGTTGTCAATTTGTGATGTTTTTGAACTTTTTGATGTAGGCATTTAATGCTATAAACTTTCCTTTTAGGATTGTTTTTGCTGTAACCCAGAGGTTTTGATATGTTGTGTCACTATTATCATTCATTTCAAAGGATTTTGAAATTTCCATCTTGATTTCATTGTTAACCCCAAAATCATTCAAGAGAAGATTGTTTAATTTCCATGTATTTGTATAGTTTAGAGATTTCCTTTTGGAATTAATCTTGAGTTTAATTTTCCACTGTGGGCTGAGAAGATAACTGGATATGATTTTGATGTTTTAAAATTTATTGAGACTTGTTTTATGACCTACCATATGGTTTATCTTGAAGAATGTTCCATGTGCTGATGAGAAGAATGTACATTCTGCAGTTCTTGGATAGAATGTTCTGTAAATATCTGTTAGATCTATATTTTCTAGAATGTGGTTAATTCCATTGACAGCACTAGACAGATCATTGAGACTTCTGTCTCAATGGAGTGTTAAAGTCCCCACTATTACTGTGTTGCTTTCTACCTAATTTCTTAGATTTGGTACTAATTGTTTTATAAATTTAAGAGCTCCAGTGTTAGGTGCCTATAAGTTTAGGATTGTAATATCTACTTGTGGGATCAATCCTTTTATCATTTTGTAATGGCCTTCTTTGTCTTTTTTTTTTTTTAACTGTTGTTTTAAAGTCTGTTTTATCTGATATAATAGCTACCCCTGCTTGCTTTCAGTTTCCATTTGCATGGAGTATCTTTTTACACCCCTCTACCTTGAGTTTGTGTGAGTCCTATGTGTTAGGTGAGTCTCTTGAAGACAGCAGACACTTGGTTTCTGATGTTTTTATCCATTCTGACAATCTATATTTTTTAAGAGGAGCATTTCGACAATTTACGTTCAGCATTAGTATTGAGATGTGAGGTGCTGTTTCAGTCATCATGTTAATTGTTACCTAGATACTTTGTTTTCTTCATTGTGTTATGTTTTGTAGGCTCTGTGAGTTTTACATTTTCAAGAGTTTCTATACTTGTGCATATCAACCTTTTGTTTCAAGATTTAGAGCTCCTTTTAGCATTTCTTGTAAGGCTCATTAGGTAGTAAAAAATTCCCTCAGCATTTGTCTGAAAATGCCTTTATCTCTCCTTCATTTATGAAACTAAGTTTTGCTGGATATAAAATTCTTGGGTGACAGTTATTCTGTTTAAGGAGGCTGAAGACAGGACCCCAGTCCTTGCTGACTTGTAAGATTTCTGCTGAGAAGTCTGCATTAGTTTTCCTTTATAAGTTACCTGATGCTTTTGTCTCACTGCTCTTAGAATTATTTCCTTCATGTTGACTTTAGATAGCTTGATAACATACACCTTGGTGATGTTCTTTTTGTAATGAATCTCCCAGGACTTCTTTGAGCTTCTTGTATTTGCATATCTCAATCTGTAGCAGGGTCAGAAAAGTATTCCCTCAAATTAGTTTCCAAACTTTTTACTTTCTTTTCTCCCTCAGGAACATCAATTATTCTTAGATTTGGCCATTTTACATAATCCCATATTTCTTTGAGGCTTTGTTCATTTCTTTTGATTATATTTTCTTTATTTTGTCTGATTGGGTTAATTCAAAAGCCTTGTCTTTGAGCTCTGAAATTCTTTCTTCTGCTTTCTCTAGCCTGTTGTTAAAATGTTCCACTGCATTTTGTAATTCCTTAAATGTGTCTTCCATTTCTAGAAATTCTGATTGTTTTTTCTGTAAAATATCTATCTCTTTAGGAAATTTTTCATTCATATTCTGAATGTTTTAAATTTCTTCATGTTGTTTTTCACCTTTCTCTGGCATGTTCTTGAGTAACTTAATAATGTTTTGACATCTTTATCTGGTATTTCAAAGATTTCATCTTGGTATGGATCCATTGCTGGAAAGCCAGTGTGATCTTTTGGGGTTGTTATAGAACCCTGTTTTGTCATATTACCGGAATTATTTTTCTGGTTCCTTCTAATTTGGGTAGGCTATTTCTTCTAATTATTTTTAAATTTATTTTTGATTCAACTGTGTTTTTCTTTAATTTCCTTTTTACCCTGTTAAGGATGTGATTTTAATGTTTATAGTTTATTGTAGCCTAATTCGGCTCTTGGTGCTTTCAGAGTTGAAGACTCTGTGGGTTCCTTGGTTATGGAGAGTCTTTGTTTGATGACTGGCTTTCTCAGATGCTGGTTGTAGTAGCAATGTGCTTGGTGTGTGTACAAGTTCACGGTCTCCTATGGGGTTGGAATGGTAGAGATATTTTGAGGCTCATCTCGTTTCCCATGATGTGCACTTTTTTATTTATTTATTTTTTCCCCAGTATTTTATTTACTGAGTTGAATAGCTCAGGTTTCAGGCCAGTAGAGAAGGTATCCCTGGGCAGAAACTATTTATGGCTAAAGCAGGTGGGTAAATGCAATATGAAATGTTGGTCAGAGGCCCCAGCCTTGACAGAGGTGGTTGGGGGAGCTCTCAGTGAAACACACTGAAGTCTTTTCAGGGGAAACGGTGGGAGCCACCTCTCCCCTTTTCCTTCTGGCCTCCCCTGCCAGGCCAACTGGAAAGTGATCCACCTCCCAGATACATCCCTGACCCAGTGTTCTGGCTATTCAGATCAGACAGGCACCTCTTTCCATCTGCAGGAATGTTGATGTTCCAAGTAGAGAGGAGTTGTGACTCTCCCTCTTGTGCAAGCCTGAGCCTGAGGGGTGCTCCCTCATGTGGGGCGGCAGTCACCCTGAAGTGTTCCTGAATGGCTGTCTATAGGCCACCCTTACCAAACTTCCATGGGAGAAGCCCCATTCCCACTGTGTTTGCAGTGGTGGATGAGGAGGAAAACAAGTCCTCTTCTCCAAGACTCTTCATGAGCACCAGCGCTGCTTGACTATTGGGTTAGAACTGCAGACTTTTCTTGCTGAGCCCAGCACTGCAAACATGACTCTGATGAAATAAACTTCCCACCAGCAGAAAGATGTGGGACTCAAGTCCTGCTCTCCAGATTCTTTTGTCCCATGGCATGTTTCATTGATGTGGTACACTCCTCTTTCCCCTGGGAATAGGAGTCCCTGAGAGCTAGACTACTGTGAATGCTGTTGCTCCTCTAGGTCCAGCAACACAGTGGAGCTGCCACACTTGAGGCCACTGTGGGGAATGTCTGCAAGGGATCCAGTAATGTGACCTGCCCTTAAGTCTTCCAGCAGTGGGTACCAGTACCAGCTCAGATGGAGGGGAGTGACATAGACTCTGTGATTCCTTGGCTATAAATAGGCTTAGTGTGTTGGCTATTTCAAATGCTGGTTGTAGGAGTAATTAACTGGTTATGTGGACAGACTTAGAACTTCCTGGTTAGCCAGGGTGGTGTAGGTAATGGTGTGTATTAATCTGTTTTCATGCTGCTGATAAAGACATACCCAAGATTGGGTAATTTATAAAGAAAGAGAGGTTTGATGGATGCACAGTTTCATGTGGCTAGGGAGGCCTCACAATTATGGTGGAAGGTGAAAGGCCCTTCTCACATGGTAGCAGACAAGAGAAGAGTGAGAGCCAAGTGAAAGGGTTTTCCCTTATAAAACCATCAGATCTCATGAGACTTATTCACTACCACGAGAATTGTATGAGGGAAATTGCCCCCATGATTCAATTATGTCCCACCAGGTCCCTCCCACAACACATGGGAATTATGGGAGATACAATTCAAGATGAGATTTGGGTGGGGACACAGCCAAACCATATCACAGTGATAGCTGAGGTCATACACAAATTTTCTCCTTCCTGAGTGCAGGTTATTCTACCTGCAGATGCTGTCTGTAATGGACTGTGTCAGTTGGCTTCTGCCAGGTGGTTGTACTTGCAAAAGAGCACCAGGTTTGGTGGTAGCAGTGGGATTTCTGCTTGCCTTATGTTACCTAGGGGAGGTACTCTGGTTTCTTACGTGATGGGCAGGGTTATAAAGCTCCCAAAAGTTTCTGTCTTTTGTGTTAAGCTACCAGGGTAGGTGGAGGGGTGAAGCCAGGTCAGAGTTGTGCTGGGCAGGTCCATGCAAGCAGCATTCCCTGTGGGGGCCAGGAGACAGTTTTCTGGCCACTAAGGTAACGCTTCAGGGATGAGGACAACTGCCTCTGCTTCACTGAAGAGTTTGCCCAGCAATTAGGGAGTAGCAGGCGGCAGTAAGCTCCACCCAGCTTCCATGCACTTGGCAAGGCAGGTCTTACACCCACAGTGTTCTGCTAGCAACAGCTAGCTAAGCTCCAGGAAGTCTACACTCAAAACTGTCCTAGGCCATAAGCCTTCTCCTCAGAGACAGCAACTGGTGACTTTCAGGCCACTCCCCTCCCAGTCCACCCACAAATCCAGGGCACCCAGCTTCTGCACTCGTGGCTGTAGCACACTTCCCATTCACCTCCCAGTTCTGGCCAAGAGAGTTCAACCCTGCTCGAGATTATATCACAGATTTTAGTTGGGAGCTTCTCTCAACCTGTGACTGCTGCCTGAGTTAGCTTGCAGACTTCCATGAGGTTCCCAGTAATGTAGAATCAGGAATAACCTCCCTTGGTTTGTACTGGAGACCGGGAATGTCCAAAAGTCTCTTCCAGCTGCTGCTCCTGCTTTTATATTTCCCACTGCTCACTAAATCAGTTCCAGTGCTTGGTAGGGTTAACGCCTTCCCCCATGGACTGGATTGCCAGGTTCCCCAGTGGGGATTTATATCCTGGAGGCAGGCTCTCACCCTCTCACACTTTGAGGACTTAACAATTTTTCACATGGCTTATAGTATAGGTTGCAGCAGCCTATCTCTTCTTTTAAAGGGTCTTATGGTTTCCTTCCGTTTTCCTGTTAAGTTCCTGTGTTGCCTCCTGGAAAAAAGTTCACAGTGTGTATCTCTACATAGTCTCTACATATATCTCTACATATCTCTACACCACATTTTATCTTCCCAAGTGGGAGAGGCATGCTAACATTGCCTCCAATTCACTGTCTTAGGGGGAAAGATTTTTTCTTTCTTCAACTAATTTTGGATTCAGTTTGCTCTTGCTTTTATAGCTCTTTAGGATACAATTGTTAGGTTGTTTATTTGAAGTTTTTCTACTTTTTTGATGTAGGTATTTATTGCTATACACTTCAACTTTAGTACTGCTTTGGCTGTGTCCCACAGGTTTTGGTATGTTCTGTTTCCATTTTCATTTGTTTCAAGAAATCTTTAAATTCCCTTATTGGTCAATTTCTTCATTGACCCAGTGGTCATTCAGGAGCATATTGTTTAATTTCCATGTGTTTGTATAATTTACAAAGTTTCTCTTGTTATTTATTTCTAGTTTCATCTCACTGTGGTCAGAAAAGATACTTGATGTGATTTCAATTTTTAAAAATTTTTTGAGATTTTTTTTGTGACCTAACATACAACCTATCTTTGAGGATGTTTCATGTGCTAAGGAAAAGAACATGTATTCTGCCTTTTTTGGATAATATGTTCTGTAAATACATATTAGGTCCATTTCTTACATACTTTTTCTTTATTTTATGTCTTGATGATCTGTCCAAAGGTGAAACTGGGGTGTTAAGTACCCAGCTATTATTGTATTGGGGTCTATCACTGTCTTTAGTTCTAATAATATTTGCTTTCTATATCTGGGTGCTCCTGTGTTGGATGCATAGATATTTACTATTATATTCTCTTACCAAATTGACCTTTTTGTCATTATATAATGAACTCATTTGTTTGTCTTTAGAGTTTTTGTCTTGAAATCCATTTTGTCTCATATAAGTATAGCAACTCCTGCTCTTTTATGATTTCCATTTGCTTGGAATATCTTTTTCCATCCTTTTATTTTCAGTCGATGTGTGTCTTTATAGGTGATGTGAATTTCTTGTAGGCAGCATATAGTTGAGTCTTATCTTTTTATACATCCAACTGCTCTATGTATTTTTATTAGGGAATTTATTCCATTTAGTTTCAGTATTACTAATGATAGGTATGGACTTACTGCTGCCATACAGTTACTTCTTTTCTGGTTGTTTTGTTGGTCCTCTTCTTCTTTCTTCCTTCTTGTTTTCCTTTGTGTAAAAGTGATATTCTCTGGTAGTATGTTTTAAGTTTTTGCTTATTATTTTTTGTGTACCTATCATAGGTTTTTGTTTTGTGGTTACCATGAGGCTTGCAAATAACATCTTACAACCAAGTATTTTAAACTGATGACAACTTAACCCGGATTACAAAGAAAAAGAAAGAAAGAAGAAAAAAAGAGAAAAGAAAAGAAAAGACAAACAAGCAAAGAGAAAACTAAACAACTCTACACTTTAACTCCATCCCCCTGGCATTTTGACATTTTGTTGTCTCTATATATATCTTTTTATACTGTCTCTAAAAAGTTCTTGTAATTATTATTTTTGATAAATGTGTCTTTTGGTCCTTCTACTAAAGATATGTACATACTGCAGTTACAGTGTTAATAGTATACTGTATTTGTCTGTATACTTACTATTACCAGTGAATTAGATACCTTCAGGTGATTTTTTTTCTCATTTGTTAACATCCTTTTCTTTCATATTGAAGATCTCCCTTGAGTATTTCTTGTAAGACGGATCTGGTGTTGATGAAATCTCTCAGGTTTTGTTTGTCTGTGAACATATTTCTCCTTCATGTTTGTAGAATAATTTTGCTGCATACAATATTCTAAATTGGAAGCTTTTATTCCTTTAGCACTTTGAATATGCCAATCCATTCTCTTTTGTCCTAAAGGTTTCTGCTGCAAAGTCTGCTGCCAGACATATTGGAGCTCCTTTTATGTTATTTGCTTATTTTTACTTGTTGCTTTCAGGATCCTTTCTTTATCCTTGACCTTTGAGAGTTCCATTAATATATGCTTTGATGTAGCCTTATTTGGCTTGAATCTGTTTAGTGTTTTATGATCTTCTTGTAGCTGGATATTCATATCTTTCTCTAGGTTTGGGAAGTTTTCATTATTATTTCTTTGAATAAACTTTCTACCCTTATGTCTCTCTCTATATATGTTCTCTTTAAGGCCAACAACTATTAGATTTGCCCTTGTCAGGCTATTTCCTGGATCTTATATGTATGCTTAATTCTTTTTTATTCTTATTGTTTCCCTCTGACTGTATTTTTATATAGCCTGTCTTCCAGCTCACTAATTTTTTCTTCTGTTTGATCAATTCTGCTGTTGAGAGACTCTGATGCATTTTTCAATTGAATTTTTCAGCTCCAAAATGTCTGCTTGATTTTTAAAAATTATTTCAATCTCTTTGTTAAATTTATCTGATACAATTCTGAATTCCTTCTCTGTATTATCTTGATGTTTGTTGAACTTCTGCAAGACGAGTATTTTGAATTCTCTATTTGAAAGGTCATATATCTTTGTCACTCCAGGATTGGTCACTGGTGCCTTATTTAGTTCGTTTGGTAAGGTCATGTTCCTTGGGTGTTCTTGATGCTTGTGGATGTTTGTTGATATCTGGGTGTTGAAGAATTAGGTGTCTATTTTGTCTATTTTGTCTTCACATTCTTGGCTTGTTTGTACCTGTCCTTCTTGAAATAGCTTTCCAGGTATTCCAAGGGGAATGAGTGTTGCGGTCTAAGTTTATGGTCACTGCAGCTGTATCAGTACTAGGAGGTGCCCTAAGCCCAGGAATGCTACAACTCTTGCCAAGTCCTAGAGGCACAATGGTGCTTCTAAATGAAGCATTGTCCTAAAGGGAGAATTCCTTGGGTTACTAGGCAAAGTATCTCAGTCTCTTCTCTTTTGTTCCTTGAACCACAAGGAGTTTTTCTCCCCATGCTAGGCTGCCTGGAGTTGGGGGAGGAGTGACACAAGCACTCCTGTGGCCACCACAGCTGGCACTGTGCTGGGTCATACCTGAAGCTAACACAGTACTGTGTCTTGCCTAATGCCCATGGTGACTACTGCCTGGCTACCACTGATGTTTATTCAAGGCCCAAGGGCTCTTTAGTTAGCAGGTGGTGAACCCTGCCAGGACTCAGTCATTGCCTTCAAGGCAGAAAATTCCCTTCTGCCCCAGGGTGGGTATAGAAATGCCATCCAGGAGCTAAGACCTGGAATCAGGGGCTTCAGGAAACTACTTGGTGCTTTATTTTATTGTGGCTTAGCTGGTACCTAACTAACTAGTAAGACAAAGACCTCTATACTTTTTCTTCTCCTTTCCCCAAGTGAAGGGAGTTTTTCCCCAAGCTGCACTGCCTGGAGTTGAAGAAGAGGGTCTCAGGTACTTAAAATCATCTATAGATTACTTATAATACATATACCTAATACAATATAAATGTCATGTATATAATTGTTATACTGTATTTTTATTTGTATTCTTTTTTGTTGCATTATTTTTATTGTTTTTTAAAAAATACTTCCAATCAAAACTTGACTGAGTCCATATATCCAGAACTTGGGTATATGTGGCTGACCATATAGTATTCTGTTCAGTTAGAAAAAATGTACCAATAGCTCAAAATTTGGAAACTTGGCTATCAGCAATTCAAGACTTAATTTTTTAAATATATTTTTTCTAGGCACTATGCATAAATATGTAACATTAGCCTCAAAGAAAGAAAATAATAAACATTTATCTCATTTACTTATTTATTTTTCTTTTTTTATTATACTTTAAGTTCTAGGGTACAGGTGCACAATGTGCAGGTTTGTTACATATGTATACATGGGCCATGTTGGTGTGCTGCACCCATTAACTAGTAATTTACATTAGGTATTTCTCCTAATGCTATCCCTCCCCCATCCCCCAACCCCATGACAGCCCCCGGTGTGTGATGTTCCCCTTCCTGTGTCCATGTGTTCTCATTGTTCAATTCCCACCTATGAGTGAGAACATGAGGTGTTTGGTTTTCTGTCCTTGCAACTCATCATCACTGGTCATCAGAGAAATGCAAATCAAAACCACAATGAGATACCATCTCACACCAGTTAGAAAGGTGATTGTTAAAAAGTCAGGAAACAACAGGTGCTGGAGAAGATGTGGAGAAATAGGAACACTTTCACACTGTTGGTGGGAGTGTAAACTAGTTCAACCATTGTGGAAGACAGTGTGGCGATTCCTCAAGGATCTCTTTCTTTTCTACTTTTTCTTTCCAAAGGAAAGCAAAACCTGATTGACAAGGTTGAGTAAAACTATGAGCTGATTAGATGTTGAACACTACTGCCTTCATGGAAATGTTACTATTTTGGCCAGAAAAAGAATTCAGAAAAGAAATAGCGTTTAAAAGTTGAACATTCATTTCAAGGAATCCTAATTTGTGTGTGTGTGTGCACTAATAGCTTCATAATCATTAATCATATATTATTTTGGTCATTGGCATATATTCCAAGTAAAAATAGCTTTTGAATCTAATCAATTATATTCTCCATGAAGCAGTGGTAAACATATTGTTTTATAAAAACATAAGACATTAACTGTAGCACAGTGGATAAGTGCCCAGGACCTGACATTAGAATACTTAGTTTTAAATCCTGGCTCCAGAATTTACTGCAAATATATTCTTGTGCAATTTACTTACCTTATCTTTACTTTCTTATCCATAAAACTGGAATTTTAGGCCAGGTGTGGTGGCTCACGCCTGTAATCCCAGCACTTTGGGAGACCGAGACAGGTGGATCACTTGAGGTCAGGAGGTTGAGGCCAGCCTGGTCAACATGGTGAAACCCCGTCTCTACTGAAAATACAAAAAAAATTAGCTAGGTGTGGTGGTGGGTTCCTGTAGTCCCAACTACTTGGGAGGCTAAGGCAGGAGAATCGCTTGAACCTGGCAGGTGGAGGTTGCAGTGAGCCGAGATTGTGCCACTGCACTCCTGCCTGGGTGACAGACCGAGACTGCATTTCAAAATTAATTAATTAATAATTAAATTAAATTAAATTGGAATTTTAATAATGTCTACCTCAGAGAGTTGTGAAGAGTAAATGAATTAACTTAAACAAAAGAATATAAAACTATTATCTCAGCCCCATATGGTATCTCTCACTTCTATAGTATTGAGACTATATAATTGATTTGACAAATAAATCTGCTTGTTTCAGATGTAATCTTTATAATTGATGTGAAAAATATTTTATTTAAAAAATATCTTAAGGCCGGGCACAGTGGCTCACGCTTGTAATCCCAGCACTTTGGGAGGCCAAGCCAGGCAGATCACTTGAGGTCAAGAGTTTGAGACCAGTCTGGCCAATGTGGTGAAATGCCATCTCTATAAAAATACAAAAATTAGCTGGGCGTGGTGGTGCACGCCTGTAATCCTGGCTACTTGGGAGGCTGAGGAAGGAGAATCATTTGAACCTAACAGGTGGAGATTGAAGTGAGCCGAGATTGTGCTGCACTCCAACCTGAACAACAGAGCAAGACTCCATCTAAAATAAAAAAAAAAGAACAAAAAAAAAAACCAAAAAGAAAAAAAATCTTTATACTACCTCTAAAGCTGTAGCTTGAATTCCTAGGAAACAGGAAACATTGTTTTCAATTCTCCATCCTCTCTGTATTTAGTATAGTACATTACTAATTTTGTGGACTTCTTAATATTGCTTTAATCTTGAGTTATAGGAACTAAATTAATAAGTAGTTTTATCCTATCATTAAATTGCTCTAAATATGAATCTTAAAGACTTGAATGAGTTTAAATATAATTCTAAAACTTATGGTAGAGCAATATAATGATTTCTTCTTCTCAAAGAAGTAATGGAATCTATCAAAATTAAAACAGTAATGTAAAATCTTGGTCGAATTTCAGATCACTGTATCATATATATGTAAATTGGACAAAGATAACACTGCCAAGCATGAAGTCTATGGTCTTTTTTTTTTTTTTTTTTTTTTTTTGAGACAGGGTCTCGCTCTGTCACCCAGGCTGGAGTGCAGTGGAGCGATCTCGGCTCACTGCAACCTCCATCTCCCAGGTTCAAGTGGTCCTCTCACCTCAGCCTCCCGAGTAGCTGGGACCACAGGCACACACCACCACATCCAGCTATTATTTTGTATTTTTAGTAGATATGGGGTCTCATCATGTTGCCCAGGCTGATCTCAAACTCCTGAGCTCAAGCGATCCGCTCACCTCGGCCTCCCAAAGTGCTGGGATTACAGGTGTGAGCCATCACGTCCAGGCCCGATGGTCATTTTTAACCATAATTCAATACCATGTGACAACTCAACTGCTATGTACTAGTTGAGAATAAACAGTGTATGAATTATCTTCACCAATGGAATATCTATTCAAAATCAATAATAAGGGTTTCTTTTTTATTATTTCTAGTTTCTTATTTCTCTTTTTTTTTCTTGTTTCAGGGCTTTGAAGACTGCTTGGTATTTGATGAGTTAATGGATAAATTCAGTAACGACCTTAGTAAGTAAGGTCAATTTCTCAACTGGACATGTACTAGCTCTTCTGACTAATTGTGGGCTTATTTCTGATCCTCAATGATCACAAACCTGTGATGTATAATGTATATTATCTCCCCAGGATTACATATTTTTCTACTAATAGTCTATGCCACCGTTTTCCCATAGCAACAACTAACACCCAGAAAAAGAAACATAGTTTCTTTTGAAGTTTCTATGTGGAGGTCCATGAAGTGATTCACTCAGAGATTAAAGCTCAGAGTACCCGTGCTTGGCAGAAATAGGCTGCTTTCTCTCCCTTTTCAGCCTAGGTAACACCCTCTGCCTGCGCCTCCTAGCAACAGTCCCAACGTTTTGGCACCAGGGACGGGTTTCACGGAAGACAGTGTTTCCACAGACAGGGGGTGGGGGGAGATGGTTTCAGGATGAAACTGTTCCTGCTCTGATCTTCAGGCGTTAGTTGGATTCTCATAAGGAGCGTGCAAGCTAGATGTCTCGCCTGTGCAGTTCACAATAGGGTTCACGCTCCTATGAGAAACTAATGCCACTGCTGATCTGACAGGAGGCGGAGCTTGGGCGGTAATGCCATCTCAACTGCCACTCACATCCTGCTGTGCGGCCCAGTTCCTAACAGGCCATGGACCGAGGGTTGGGGACAGTCACCCTACAACACATCCTCAGAAACACTTAGAAGCTCCAGTGTTTTTTGCCCTATCAAAGATTGCATCTAATACTTTTTTTTTTGAGATGGAGTCACTCCATCGCCCAGGCTGAAGTTCAGTGGCCTCAGTCTTGGCTCACTGCAACCTCCGCCTCCTCTCCTGCCTCAGCCTCCAGAGTAGCTGGGATTACAGGCATACACCACCACACCCAGCTAATTTTTGTATTTTTAGTAGAGACGGGGTTTCGTCATGTTGGCCAGGCTGGTCTCGAACTCCTGACCTCAAGTGATCCACCCACCTCTGCCTCCCAAAGTGCTGGGATTATAGGCGTGAGCCACCATGCCCGGCATAAATTCCTTTTTTTTTTTTCATTATTTTTCAGTTATCTCTGTCAAATACTGAGGAGCCAGAGGCATTTTGTTCCCGCCCTTCCTTCCTAGTCCTGATGTGATTGGTTTGCACATGACCATGGAGGTGGATGGAGGGTTTGTATATTACATATATAAAAGAAGGCACAAACAACAGCCTAAGAACTGGATAACCTTTTCCTACTTCCCAGCATCACGTGCTTTCAAAGGCCACCTCTGATTTTACACTTGTTTCAGGTAAAGGATAGACTAGAGAACTGGCCTTAAACTTACACCCAGTTTCAAGTCCTGACTTGCCAACTTATTAACTGTGTGATCTTGAGCAAATCACTTCATCTTTCTAAAGCCTCCGTTCTTTTTCATCTATAAAGTGGGGATGATACTCTCAACTTCAGAGTTGTGAACACTGAATAATTTCTATAAAGTTTTAAAAAGAAAAAAAAAGCCTACCGTAAAGTAAGTTCATAGTATATGTTTGCTGTGGTGTTTTAGAAAGTCCAAGAATACTGGTGCCTGGGTCTGAAGAGATCATAGAATTCCAGGACAAATTTTCTCATCTTTTTTTTCTTTTTTTTTTTTTTTTTTTTTTTTGGTTATTTCCCAGTCATCTCTCTCAGATGCTCAGGAGCCAGAGATATTTTGTTTCCTCCTTTCCTTGTGCTCGCGTGACTGGTTTACACATGACGTTGGAGGTTGATAGAGGGTTTATGCATAAGAACACACTGTCAACGCTGGTTTGGGGCACTAGAGAACAAAGATAAAGCAATAATATAGATTAATTTTGTTGTAATTTTTATTTAATCACAACAGGAAATGCTCTGTGTATTGTCAATAGTCATAGATTGTTGGTTATACAGAATGGTTATTTATAGTTTAAAAAAATTAGCGAGAGCATTGGTAGTGAACGTACCATTTAATTTGACCTGTGTAGAGTTCAGCACATTTTTATAGAAGGTTTTGGAAAGATGTATTATTTAACTTACAGGTTTGTGTCTTCCTGTGTTCTCAAGATTGAGAATCCCAGATGATCACGCGATTTCAGACCTATCCATGTACAATTACATAGAGGTGAGTGAGAAGGTTTGGCTTTATTCCATGAGATGGTTCACTGATATTCTAACAAGTGTTCTTTTCTTTTTCTTTGCTTCAGCCCCCATCTCATGCATGCTATATAAGAATACCTACAGATAAGAAAACACACACACACATAGCATTCCTTAGACTTGGGTGGATTGTGACTCTGGCCAGTGGCAATGACCAATACACATTATCTCTATCTACACTTTAAGGACGTTTAGGAGGTAACAAAACCTCTGATAATTCACATGCTTTTATCTTAGACATTTAGCAATATGTTACTTTAATGAAAATACAACTTTCAGATGTGTCAACATATTTAGAAAATCTAAGAAATGTTGAATGGCCTTTTCACTCATAACATTATAACTTGCATATTTAGAGTAGCATTGATTATCCTTTGGAAACTTATGCACTAAAAAAAAATGCATAATACCAAAAAGAAATTCATGTTCAGGAAGATTAGTACTTTGAAAAAAAAACATATTAATTCCATTTTGAACCAGTCACATGTAAAGCTCATGGTAAGTGATTGTGATTATAGTTTTAAAATAATAAAATGAAAGGATTTACAAGATAAATTTAAAGCAGAGTGACCAGCTATTTGCCATCTCTCCTGAAGACAGAAAGAAACTGGACTTCAGCTTGAGCAAAATTGCATCAGATGTGGTAGAGGATAACCTACAAGATATTGTAGGCTTTATTGATGTATCTTGTCTTCTCCTTTAAAAACGGGATGGCTACGACACAGTATCTGTCCTAAAAGAAAGAGTAGGTCCAGACAAACATAGCTTTAAACAATCTCTTTTTGCCGTAAGCAATATTACAAAACAACCAGGAAGCAACAGAAAATTAGACAAATCTTTGAGCTCACAGATTGCCTGCAGTTCTGGTTAAACAAACCCTCTGCTGAAATTGACTTCCTCTATTGAACCCTGAGCAAAATAAACTTCCCTAGCAGGTTTCGTGTAATTGCTGTACATTTTCGAGGCAACGTCCTATATGACCGACATTTACCAAAATGGATTGGGAATGACATTATGGAAACAAAAAATTATTTGACTACTTTGTGTTTGGCATTGCGATGAGTGGGAATGAAGAATAATACTAAGTCGCAGTGAGAAATAGCTGTATTTGTTCAAAAGCGTTCTTTAAGACTGTCATTATTGCAGATGCGAGCACATGTCAACTCAAGCTGGTTCATTTTTCAGAAGAACATGGAGAGATTTCTTCATGCGATTATGCCATCGACCTTTATCCCTCTCTATACAATGGTAAGGTCTGGACTGAAGACTTTTCCTCATTTTGATTTTCTGTTTAGCTGTTAAAGAATACACAAGAATACTTTTTAAACTTCCCTGCAGGTCACTTTTTCCAGAATAAGATACCATGAGGCTGTGCAGCGTTGGCATTGGCAAAAAAAGGTTGGAACAGTTACATTTTATTTATTTTTTAATGTGGTGTTTTGAAATGTCATAGTATTATGATTATGTTTGTTTCCAACAAATACAGAAATAATGGGACAGACACCAACTGTTTGCCTTCCAAACAGAAACTGTCCTGAGTACAGAGAGGGAACAGTGCTTACTGAAAAACATTACAAGGAGGTGGCAAAGAGAGCTTTTGAAGGGAAGAATCTCAAGATAGAAACTGATGCTAATATTTCTCAACTTTTTACTTTATTTTAGCAAGATGTACTGTTCTTGATTTTTGCTTCATGCAATATTCTTATGAGTTTAATTTGTAAAATTAGACAGAACTGAATCACTTTTAAAAGATCTATTCCAATGGAATGCTATAATACATCCATTTTGGGCAGTTGGCCTAGAGAAGCCATTAAATGGAAGGAATTCTGATTCCCTAGTCTTCCACTTTGGGGATTTTACAACGTCATTTATTCAACAGACAGTTTTATTTGGTACATAGATAGCACTGAGCTGGCATGGTGATGAACATGACCAGTTCACACCTTTCACAAAGCTCAGAGGCTAGTAGGGGATACAGACAGTGGCACTGGAGAGAGATAAACTGCCCCCGAGGAGAACAGGAGGGGCCAGGACAGGGGAAGGCGGAAGACACATGAGAAACATATTTCAGTGGAGCTGGAAGGCAGCACAGTGTGTGAGAATGGTCAGAGGGTGGAGGCGGGGCTTTAAACACCTGGAGTATTATCTTGAGAGAAACAGGGAGCCCAGGGAGGCCAGCAGACTCAGGTATGGATTTTAGAAAGATGTCTATATGGAGAATGGATTGGAAGAAATCAAGGTTTATCTGTGCAAGATGAATAAAACAGGGCCCCCACCCTTAAGGAGCTGAAAGTCTAAAAGGGGAAAAGATACCAGCAGGCAGTTAGAATGCAGGACAGTAAGTGCGGGGATAGAAATAGGCCAGGCAAATCCTTCAAGGAGGGATAAAAGTCAATCTTCAAACATTAACTTAAGCAGACCAAAAATTCTGATGACCACATCTAGATTATTTTTTATAAAAATGATTTTCACTATAGCTATGTTAGTTATGCTAAGCTACTGTCCAATCTCTTGTGATGTGTAACTTTTACATGTGAGTATTCAAGTAGATTTCTCTGTCAAAAAAAAAAAAAGAAAAGAAATAGGCCAGGATGCCATGGGAAAGCACCTGACTCAGGCTGGAATGAGCCTCAGGCCACTGTTTACAGCTGGTGTTTAGTCTCCACATAAGTCTTAGTCACAGAGGCCACCAGGCCACCACTCTTCTCCTGGAGACTTTTGGGAAGCTTCTGAGAAGGAATGAATGATGTGTGGCCCCAGCACAGCAGTACTCTTCTAAGAATTCACAGCTCTTTTTCTAAACTGCAAAGGTTTTTTAATGGCTGGACAAAAGCTGACTGCTAAATTTTTTTCATACAGAAGACCTGGATTCATGAGTTTCCTGGGAGAGAGGGAGAAGGGAGGCTCCCAATCCTTGACTTTATCTTGATCTTATCAGTTCCTGATCTGGTGGTCATGCAAGTAAATTGTTGTTTCAGGTTAAAGAACAAAGAGGACATTGTTTACCCCTTTGTTGTTAAAAAATGAAGTCTATTTTCAGATTTTAATCTCTGGACAAATGAAATGAGAGTTCTTGCTGTCTTACAGGTGATAAACAAAGGACTCTTTTTCTTGGGATCACTGATAGCCATCAGCAGTACCTACCTACTTATACACTACATGTCACCACGATCTTTCCTCCGCTTGAGAAGACCATGGAACTGGATAGCTCACTTCCGGAATACAACATGTTTCCCCGCAAAGGCCGTGGACTCCCTAGAACAAATTTCCAATCTCATTAGCAGGTGATAGAAAGGTTTTGTGGTAGCAAATGCATGATTTCTCTGTGACCAAAATTAAGCATGAAAAAAATGTTTCCATTGCCATATTTGATTCACTAGTGGAAGATAGTGTTCTGCTTATAATTAAACTGAATGTAGAGTATCTCTGTATGTTAATTGCAATTACTGGTTGGGGGGTGCATTTTAAAAGATGAAACATGCAGCTTCCCTACATTACACACACTCAGGTTGAGTCATTCTAACTATAAAAGTGCAATGACTAAGATCCTTCACTTCTCTGAAAGTAAGGCCCTAGATGCCTCAGGGAAGACAGTAATCATGCCTTTTCTTTAAAAGACACAATAGGACTCGCAACAGCATTGACTCAACACCTAGGACTAAAAATCACAACTTAACTAGCATGTTAACTGCACTTTTCATTACGTGAATGGAACTTACCTAACCACAGGGCTCAGACTTACTAGATAAAACCAGAAATGGAAATAAGGAATTCAGGGGAGTTCCAGAGACTTACAAAATGAACTCATTTTATTTTCCCACCTTCAAATATAAGTATTATCATCTATCTGTTTATCGTCTATCTATCTATCATCTATCTATCTATCTATCATCTATCTATCTATCTATCTATCTATCTATCTATCTATCTATCTCTATTTATTTATGTATTTAGAGATCAGGTCTCACTCTGTTGACCAGGCTGGAGTGCAGTGGTGAGATCTGGGTTCACTGCAACCTCTGCCTCCTGGGCTCAAGCAATCCTCCCACTTCAGCCTCCCAAATAGCTGGGGCTACCATGGTATTTTTCAGTAGAGACCGGGTCTTGCCATGCTGCCCAGGCCAGTCTCAAACTCCTGGCCTCATGTGATCTGCCCACCTCAGCCTCCCAAAGTACAGGGATTAGAGTTGTGAGCCACCGCTGCCAGCCCAGAGTTACCCTCTAAAGATAAGAAAAAGGCTATTAATATCATACTAAGTGAAGGACAGGAAAGGGTTTTATTCATAAATTAAATGTCTACATGTGCCAGAATGGAAAGGAAACAAGGGGAGACAACTTTTATAGAAATACAAAGCCATTACTTTATTCAATTTCAGACCCTCAGAAGCAATTTACTAATTTATTCTTCGACTACATACTGCAGCAGAACCAGCAATACACTTGATTTTTAAAAGCACATTTAGTGAAATGTTTTCTTTGGTTCATCCTTCTTTAACAGGCTGCTGAGTCACTCAGAAATCCTTCAAACATGATTAATTATGAAGATGAAACACTAGAGTCATATAAGAAATAAAAATTGGGCAATAAAATAAAATGATTCAGTGTTTCTTTTCTATATTGTCAATGAAAACCTTGAGTTCTAATAATCCATGTTCAGTTTGTAGGGAAAGAAAAAATAATTTTTCCTTCTACCCACTTTAGGTTCCTTGGCTGGGGCCCCTATAACAAAAGACAGATTGACAAGAGAAAAACAAACATAAATTTATTAGCGGGTATATGTAATATATATGTGGGAAATACAGGGGAATGAGCAAATCTCAAAGAGCTGGCGTCTTAGAACTCCCTGGCTTATATAGCATCGACAAAGAACAGTAAATTTTTAGAGAAACAACAAAACAAAGAAAAAGAGCTTTGAGTCTGTAGGGGCAGCAATTTGGGGGAAGCAAATATATGGGAGTTTGCCTTGTAGATTCCTCTGGTGCTGGTCTCCAGGCTGACAAGGATTCAAAGTTGTCTCTGAAACTCCTCTTTGTCATACTGCACATATAAAACGTCTTTTGTTTCCAACAAGAGGATTTTCTTTTTCATTCTAGAATTATCTCCTTGATAACTTGATCAGATATAGGACATGACACTGAATAGAGTCCAACAGTACAAAAAAAATTCAGTATGTTCTAGCTACTTCACACATGTGTACGCGACAGTTATTTTTACAGTAAGGTATTTTCGAGAAAAATGCATTACGTGTTTTGGAAAATAGAGTAATTTAAAAAATATATTTGAAATGAAAATCTCCAACACATTAGAAGATGATGATGTTAGATGCCCATCGTGTGCCACAAGTGGTTTTTTCATTATGTAAAGCACCCGTTGAATTAAAAGAATTTGTTTTTGTTCAACCTCTTCCTGAGGCCCAAGAGCATATGGGCAATTCGGATTTCCTGCTGGACCACAAGGTTCTGTTGATATTACATAGAACGGGTATTCCAGACACTTCTTATGATGAAAGTCCAAAAGTGGCATCCAATTTAAGGCCCCATCTTTCGTTGCCATTCTTCATTCCTACAAAGGACGAACTTGGATTACATCAACTTTGGACCCATTGGTTTTGTCGCTGTCGTCAACTGACAGTGATTCATCACTGGTGATGATAAAAATGATGGAAGAAGAGTTGAAAGTCACTTTTTTCTTTGGCCTGTCCCCATCTTTCTGTGACATCACAATGGGTCTGATCTGCATTTCACTTCCAGCTGCTGGTAGGTCTTTAGCAGGCCTCTGGCACCTCAGCAGTCGGAGGCACAGAAGCTGCAAAAGGGATCTTCGAAACTGGGCAGAGAAAAAATAAAGTGGAATATTAAGTAAAAGTTGGGCACTAATCTGGATTAACATTCGAGGAAATCAGTTGAGCTGAATTTAAGTTGTTTTTTGTTTGTTAGCAGGTGTGGATGTGGGGTTATGTGGTCATGCTCAGATCTACCTAAATCACCCCAGAGCTTTATGTCTTTTATTCATTCTAATTCTTATTAACCGGAATATGTAGGACCATTTCAATACCTTGTAATCCTCCAAGCTTCAATCTGCACACACTTTCTATGAGGGCAGGTACAACTATTAAGAGATTTTGAACATTAAGTTAGTCCACAAATATTCAGTGGGCATCTACTAGGTGACAGCCACTGTGCTATAATTAGAGACTTTTTACTATAAGCATCAAAAACAGATAAGGCTCTTCCTGGCAGAGTTTACAGCCTGGTGTACTTGCTAATGTCTCTTTAATTAGGTGAAGAATTTTTTTTTTCTATCGAAATTACTAATCAGTTGGGGAAAAAAATACTATAGCAGACAGCACTAATGTCATCAACAAACATTGTTCTTCTCCGTGTCCTGGGTACAACATCGAATAATATTTCTTGGCCTCCTTTCCGCTTCTCCTCTCTGCTGTTCCTCTCTACAAGAACCTGGGAGGCCAACGCCTAAAGATCATAATATCACACAATGGAAGGAACCTAGATTCCTAAATGACTGCATAGGACAGATCCCATCTCCTCCA
Source organism: Homo sapiens (assembly GCF_000001405.40). Lineage (NCBI taxonomy): Eukaryota > Metazoa > Chordata > Mammalia > Primates > Hominidae > Homo > Homo sapiens. The sequence goes on from NC_000001.11 coordinate 241,595,416, forward strand.
CCCAATACATTATTAGACTGAACTGTGACCTGAAATGAGCAATAAACTCTGTATTAATTCACTGAAATGTTGGGGTTGCTTGTTATAGTAGTCGGTCCATCATGACCAGTAAAACATAAATCAAAAGTTAATGTAATTGTTATCCCATTATTTAGAGCGAAATAAATGTTGAATATATGGACTTTCTCAGATTAGGAAATACCAATTAAAAATATAATAAATAGCTACATTGATTTCTGTCTTTTTTGTTTGTTTTTTGTTTTGTTTTGTTTTACAGCAAACACTGCCTGATAATGTCTTGAGCTCCAATCTTATGCAAGTTAGCATTCAGTTTATACTCACATTTAAAAATATTTATTTTTTCTATCTGATTCAAAAATTTAAAAAATAAAAATATTTGTTTGAGACTTTATTCACTAAACCATTGTTTGGTTAAGTGTTAAAGATACATTACTGTAAAGGTTAAATAGAGTATGTATGCCAAAAAACGTTTTTCCATATAAATGGTAAGCTCTTTGAGGACAAGGACCGTTGTTTTTATTTATTTGTTTTTGTTTGTATCTTTTAGACTTCCTGTTTAAAGTATGCCCTTAGGAACCAGAAACATCAGGACCATGTGGGAGCTTGTTAGACATGCAGAATATTGGGCAACCATACATACTGAAGGAGAATATTCATTTATTACAAGATTTCCAGGTGTGGTGTATGCACATTAAAGTTCTAGAAGCACTAATTTATAGCCCATTGGCTGAGAGAAAGAGTGCAACAAATAATTGTTAGTTAATGTATTTTAATTTTGTCTGTTGAGAGGGTGGTCCCTAAAATATCTTAACCTCTGATAGAAAATTAAAGTTATAAACCATCTCACTAGAAAAATTCATATGTGTGCATACTAAAAAATTGTTATAAACAATTTCCAGGGTTTCAGTGGCTCTTCTGAGGCCAACTCAAGGAATGTTTAGGTCCTATGGACTCCAAGTTTAAAATCTCTGGGTTAAAGGAAATAGACCAATTGAAGGCAACAAAACAGGGAAAGAAACACTGTCAGTGAGAGGAGATTAAGGCAGGTGAAAGTGAGTTTATGGAGAGTGTAAGCCAATAATACTCAAAGAGAAGGAAAGGCAAAATAAGAGGCAGAGAGATTTAGCACTGAACATAATAAGGTTATTACAAAAGTGCCCTCTTCTTCCACATTCTTGAGCATTAGAAGTCACAGTGATTATTATTGCCTGTTATTATTATGACCTGTTATCTTTAAAATTCCAATGGAGTAATTAAGCATTATCTTTAACTTTTAAATTCTCTGAAACGTAGAGGCTCAGCTTTATAATAATCATTTTGTGGGCTCTCCTAGCCATGACTCATAGCCATCAAGTCAAAACCTTTCAACTACAGAAACAGATGATAAGGAAGTTCCTCTTCTTTTTGAGACAGGGTCTCGCTCTGTCGCCCAGGCTGGAATGCACTGGTGCGATAGTGGGTCACTGCAGCCTTGACCTCCTGGGCTCAAGAGATCCTTTCATCTCAGGCCCCTGAGTAGCTGCGACTAAGGCACATGCCACCATGCCCAGCTAATTTTTTCTTTTTTTTTTTTGAGAGAGCGGGGCATCTCATTATGTTGCCCAGGTTGGTCTTGAACTCTTAGCTCAAGCAATCCTTCTGCCTCAGCATGCCCAAGTGCTGGGTTTACTGGCTTGAGCCACCACACCAGGCCCAGGAAGTTTCTTGAACCAAATTAATTTAGGCTAGACATTTGCTGTGGCATGTGAATAACAACCCAGGCCAATTGCTACAAGTATCTATAACCCCAAGTGAGGAGTTATAAGCACTGGATTTGGGGATTTGAGCAAACTAGGTTCAAATCCTGGCACCAATACTTCCTGGATTGGGCAAGTTATTTAACTTCTCTGAACTTATTCATAACCCATAAATAAAACAAGGAATAATATTAGTGCCTATTTTGTGGAGTTTTGTAAACTGGCTTGTAACTTGTTTGTGACTTGCTTGTAACTTGCTTGGTACAGTAGGAATTTTAAATGTATTATTAACATTGTAGCTGTTATTACTAGGCATAAACTATTTTCTGATGAATTAAATATTAGTTTTACTAGAATTCTACCTAACAAGTGTGAATCCCTATGGGTAGTTCTTAGAATTGTTATGATTTTCTTTGGAAATATTCTACATTTCTTCCAGATCCCTTTAATTCCTAAAAAATTCTTGTTTTTTTTTTAATTGAAGCGACTCTGAATCACCTCTGTAAAAGTATTACACTGTCATTTCCAACTCTATGCCCAGGGTGAAAACAATCAGTTAATTGCAAAGCTTACCTTTCTGATCATGAAGACATAAATCACTGGATTGTATACAGTGTTCGATTTAGCAAAGAGGTACGAAACAATAGATATTGTTGGAGTGACCAGGTGACCATGACCATTAACCACCAAGAAGCAGATCACGATATAAGGCATCCAACAGACCAGGAAGGTGAATATCATTAAAAAGCACATTTTGGCCAGTTTCTTTTCATATTTTAAAATCTTGATCACTTGAATTGTCTGAAGATCTTCCACACAACGAAGCTGCAGAAAGGAGAAAGAAAGGAAAGGGCTTAAAAAACAAAAGAAGGGTTTCTTTTGTTGTTTTTATAACAGATATTCAGACACCATTCTTGGCCCCACCTAAATGGAAAGAGAACTGAATGGCACCTTGGCAGGCTGACTTCTGATCCAAGACTCATAGCTGAGTCCAGCTTTAACCTTGCCGGGCCTCAGTCTCCCCACTTACAACATAGGGTGGTTGAGCTACAGAGCCTCCTACATCCTTCAGTGTTTTTTTTGACGTTCTCTTATTTACTTAATAAGAATAACATTATTTTGCCTAGATCTTCAAGTCTCTAAAAGACAGCCTGAGAGAGTCACGATAAAATGCAAAGAATTTCCCTGTGATCCTGGAAACTCTATAGAGTGTTAGTCCTCCAGTTCTCAAATCAGACTGCACACCCATGTCATGTCAGGTGTTCTGCATGATTAAGCCTGCAGCTGGCCTTGATGAGCACTTAATTCCCAAGTGAATTCTTACTGAAAACCAGCTTTTCAATTCACTGCTAATGACTGTAAAGTAGAATTTCAGGAGAAATTTGTTTGTGATTGGCTTCATTAGGGGATCACTTGCAGAGAACAGCACTTGGTAAAACAACTCCTTCCTCTAAAACCAGCCTGTCTACTCGCAGTCTGTTCCCATTAAAGGGATGGAGGAGTAATGATGTACAGCCTGAAAGTTCTTTGAGTTTCTTGAATATGTTTCTTTTTGCTGTTTCTCCTATTATTATATATGTGTCATAATAATACACAGGCAAAGAATATTTCTGCACACCAAAAATGTGTTCCTAAATCAAAATAGTTCTCTCTAAACATTGTAATAAGTTATATGAATTATACTACAAAAATACAAATACTCTATATATTGATTTTTTAAGTAGTTAGCATATAGTTAATACTTAGTATTGATTACTTTATGCCTGGAAATTTACTGCATTTCAATGAACTCTAAGTGTACCTTTTGGTTCTAGCATTATCATAAAAATTAAGAGAAAGAATTTCCAAAGAAATCATTTAGAACATGTGCTTAGATTATTTAGAAATATATTTTAATTAAAATTCTCAAATTACTGATATCCAAAATTATATTTAAGAAATTATATTCTTATCAAAATCATGTATTCAGATTAGCAAAGAATAGAGAGAAATAGGAAAAATTTAAATCATTGATTTTTTTAGGGTAGAGAGACTATGTGCAGGGAAAAGTGGGTATTAAATTTCTGGTATTAGTTTGGTGCAAAAGTAATTGTGGTTTTTGCCATTAAAGGTAAACCTTTGAAGGTCACCTTATTTAAAGGTAAATAATATTCCTTTACCACTATGCCAATTACTTTAAAAAATCAATATATAAAGTATTTGTATTTTTGTAGTAAAATTCATATAACTTATTACAATGTTCAGAGATAACTATTTTTATTTAGGAACATATTTTTGGTGTGCAGAAAGGTAAATAATTTACCTTTAAAAAAGGTTACCTTTAAAGGTTTACCTTTAACGGCAAAAACCGCAATTACTTTTGCACCAACCGAATACTACTATTCTGTGTGTGCAATTCTATTTTAAAAGAAACTGTTTTATTTAATGGGATAGAATATTTTTCTATTTTCAAAACATCATTTTGGGGGAGCTTCCCTAGTTTATAGGAAGGCTGTGGGGTTTTGATAAAAGGTCTAGATTTGGAATTAGAAGATCTAAGTTTATATCCCAGATTAACCACTTTTGCTCGCAGTGTGATATTGAGCAAGTCAACAACCTCCTCTAAGAGTAAACAAGAAAGGAGGTAAAGCAAAAAAACCTATGAGAATTAACAGAACTTGAGTTCCATTTCCACACGTATGACTTTGTGGGGTTGTTTTTGAGGTTAAATACTTATTTATATTTGAACTAGATATGAGACTAACACACTTGTATGTATATGTACATTTATGATACTATAGGATATCTGGAATCATTATTGACTCTTCAGAGTTTCAATTAACAAGCAACATAACCACATCTCAGTTATCTGCCTCCCAAACCTCCAGTATTTAGGTCCAATCGTTTTATCTGTACCATTTTCTGGGCAGGTCAGTCTTTATCCCCTCTCGCCATTTATCAAAGGAGAACACTCATTTATCCATCTTGGAATTACATGCATGCTGGGGAAATTAATTTAAATAAATGTTTGTCTATACATCCCCAGTTCCTCTTTGGGATAAGGAGAAGATATTGACTAATGTTTTAGATTATTTGGGTTTATATATGTGAAGTTTTCATGATTATTTTTTATTTATCTTTTTCAGGCCTCTTTCTTTCATTACTTTCTATTCCTTCATTCTGCTCATTAAATATTTTCCAAATAAAAAACTCGATTTCATGTCTTACCCTCTTTATTCAATCATTTGAGGATAGTTTTCAAAATTGCTATGGATGAAGCAATTTTGAAATGATTGGCACAGGCACAAATTTGTCCTAAAGAATGAACCAGCTAAGACAAATTCTTCAGAATTCTCTATCAGATTGTTCTCTGGCTGTATAAATGGCTGGTGCCTAGTGCTCCTTAATCCAAGACATCTGTAGATTTTCAAAGAATTTCACTGTGAATCTTCATTCTCAAGTGTGTAGCTATGTCTCCATCGTTGTTATGAGTCACCTCTCTCTGAATAAGGAAACGGAGGCAAATTACTTGCAGTGAGCTCTCTGTTTAGATAGCAGCTAAAGTCAAATCTCTTCACACTTTCACCCCTTCTCCTGTCTTCCCCTTTCTATGCCCTCTGCTTGTAACTCATTCCAAAAATAGTCACTGATTACCTACTACATGCAGACACTGTTCCAGTCACAGGTGAGAAAATACATAAGACCCAGTCTCTGCTCTTGAGGAATTCACTATTTGGTGAGGATGATGCACACTGAGCGGGTAGAAGCCATGAGGGAGGTAAACAGGGAGGATATGGTAGTACACAGGATGGGAAACTGGTTCTGAGGGTGGGTTAGAGCAAGAAAATCGTGCTGTTAGCCTTGTGAGGGAAGGAGGAATTAGTCAAGTAAGGAGGAGAGACAGAATGTTCCAGAGAAAGAAAGTGTGCTAAGACAAGAGGCAAAATAAAAAGTCAGTTTCTGAAAACAAGAAATATTACCATTGGCCGCATCATGAGGTGGCAAGAAGACAGGAGTGTCAAGAAATGAGGCTGGACAGGTAGACAGGAGATGCCATACAGGACCTGCCGGCCACACCCAGGGGCTTTATTTTGAGTCACAAAGACAGTGGAACTTCTGAAGGTAATACTTGAGAACAACTACTCTGATGGCAGTGTGTAAAGAATGGAATAGAGGAAAGCAAAAATTTTAAAAAGGAGAACTAAGTTTTTTTTTTTTAACTGAGTCTGTGGCAGTGGGAGAGGAAAAAATGGATATACCAAAAAATATAGGGCTAGGAGCAGTGGCTCACACCTGTAATCCTAGCACTTTGGGAGGCCAAGGCGGGCAGATCATGAGGTCAGGAGTTCGAAACCAGCCTGGCCAACATGGTGAAACCCCATCTCTACTAAAAATATTTTAAAAATTAGCCAGGCATGGTGGTGGGCACCTGTAATCCCAGCTACTCAGGAGGCTGAGGCAGGAGAATTGCTTGAACCTGTGAGGCGGAGGTTGCAGTGAGCCGAGATTCTGCCATTGCACTCCAGCCTGGGCAATAAGAGTAAAACTTCGTCTCAAAAAACAAAACAAAACAAAACAAACAAACAAACAGAAACAAAACGAAACAAAAAAACATGTAAGTGGCATGGATAAGAACTGATCAATAGTTGTGTGTTGGGGGAGACATGGATGACACATAGTCAAAGATTACTCCCTAATTTCTGGTCTTGGTATCTAGGAATGATGACTATTCAATGAGAAAGCAAATAGACGAGCAGAAGATTTTAGGGAAAATATGACAAATTAATCTTTATATTTGTTAAATTTGATGAGTCTGTGGACCATCCAAGTGGAGGTGTTCAAGAGGCAATTGACTACGAGGATCTGTTAGAGGCTGGAAGAAAGACCTGAACTGGAAATGGAGATGTTATCAAGCTTGTGTCAGAAGGAGAAATCCTGGCAGTATGAAAGACCACCCAAGGCCAGTGTGTAGCATGGGACAAGAGCTAAACATAGGATGCTGGGGAGGCCCAAAGAAGAGAAGCCCTTGGAAGAGATAAGAAGATGGCGCCAGAGAGTCAGCAACAAAGACAGCAGAGAAAGGCGCCCTAGAATCGATGGCAGGAGACCACCACAAGAAAGTAGAAGTTGGCAATAGTCTCAAACGCTGAGGATGCTAGAAAGGAATAAAAATGTGTCCATGGGATCACATATCTGGGAGCTCATCAATGACCTGAAATGAGGGCTGTATTAGTGGCAGTGCGGTAGAGGAAGGAGTCACAAGTTTGCCTTAAGTTGAGGAATGAATGCTAGATAAACTTACTAAACTACCAACTCCCTGAACTACAACAGAAATGTATTTCTCACAGTTCTGGAGGCTGGGAAGTCCCAGGTAGAGTAGCTGGCAAGGTAGGTATCATTCTGAGGCCTCCTCTCTTGACTGTTATCTCACTGTGTGCTTCCATGTTCTCTTATTTATGCACTCGTGGGAAGACAGAAAGAGAGACAGAGAGAGAGAGATAGAGATAGAGAGAGAGAGAGAAAGAGCAAGCTTTCTGGTGTCTCTTCTTACAAGGACACTAATCCCCTAATCCCATCAGACCAGAGCCCCATCCTCATGACCTCCTCTGACCCTAATTACCTCCCAAGGCCCCATCCCCAAATACTGTCACATCGGTGGTTAGAGATTCCACGTAGGAATCTGAGAGGGACACAAACATTCAGTCTATAACAGCAAGAAATTGGCATATTTGATATGCTCAATAAATATCAGGTAAATGAATGCTTAGTGAGTGACATTGTGGCACCAAGAGTCACCAATGGTTCTTTGAGTTAGCAGTGACAAAATGGAGAAAAATAAAGTGATAGCTAGAGGGAGCTGAGAGTAGATTGTGATTAAAAACAAAATAGCCTGGTAATATGCTAAAGGGAAAGGGCCAGTGGTAAGGGAGAGTGTGAAGATACAAGGGAAAGAGAAAATTATTAAGAAGTGTCTCTGGGGCATGGAAGGGGGTGGGGGAGCAATCAGAATACAGAATCGAGTTGGTCCTGGGAGACCTCTCCTGTCGCCCTGTAACTGAAGAGAGAGTCCTAAGAATCAGTGGTTTGTGTAAAGAGAGGTAAGGAGTCAAAGGAACCCTTGATAATGGCTTTGTTTGGTCCGATAAATCAGAAGCAGACTTACTTGATAAGAATGAGAGGAGACAGTAGGGTGAGAAATTAAAATGAGAAATGAGTCTGTGTAATAGTCACAGTGTGGAGACAGTAGACCACACATACAGGGATAGAAAGGTTGGTAGAACAAGGCTGAGAGGACATCTAAGTGTAGACAGATGTGTTTTGTTTTTTTTTTTCCAGCTCCTCCTTGCAGTTTGACTACAGGCATAGAGAAAATAGATGATTGAACTGATCTAGGGATTTTGTCTTTAACAAAGTTGGCATATGTAAAGAATGTAGAAACAAATGATTTAAAGTGATGCATGTAGCTAAGTCCGATTTTTTAAAAAGGTGAAAGTTAGAAGGGTTTGACGGAGTGAGCAAGAGACTAGAGACAGAAGCAGAGAATAGAGTTGGAAGAATCAGTGAATGAGGAAGGAAACATCCATGGCCAAAGCTAGAGACTGGGAAGTGGAGCCTGTTCCACACTGGGTTTGAGTTCAAACTGGAAAGTTCTTGTTGGCACCCAACGTGAAATTGTTTGTGGTCAGTTCTTACCCTTTATGACTCTGGTGTGATCGCCAAACAAAACATCTGTGCTGTTCTCTAGTCAAATTCATATGACCTCTGAATAAACAAAGTTATGGGAAGTGTGGAGTTCCCTCTTTTAAATTCTTAAATTTTAAGAGTGTTGGATAATGTAGGGTTTTTTGGTTGCTGATTTTGTCAGTCAGAAGATTTTTCTTTCCTTCTTTTGGTTGAGAGAGGGATGTAGAGAGAGTAAATGCTATTCCGCATTGATCTTTCCAGAGAGTGACTCATAGCATAAAATTCAACCAGATGGGAAGTCCCCTAGAACTGCTCTACCTCTGGGCAACTACTGATGACATAGGAAGACTTTCATTATTTTCCAGACAAAATTTTCTACCCTGGATGTGGTTTGGGAGGGGGGCATCTGTAGTCTTCAACTCACCATTCGAATGGAATATAGAATATGGCCATAGCAATGGGCTATGACACCCAGGGGCACCACCAGGCAGCCAAGAAATAAGAAAAGCACAAAGGAGGAATCGTTGGCATCCTTGGATTTCCAGTCCACAGTGCAGCCTAGTCCGTGTACGTCCAGGATGTACCTGTTCCATCCCAGGAGAGGTGCTCCTGCCCACGCCAGTGAGTAGAGCCAGATGTAGGTAATGGCCCTCCAGGCCCAGGAAAAATTGATCACTCTGGCATGGACCACGCGAATGTAACGTTCATAGGCCAGCACGGTTAGGGTGGCAATGGAAACAATCCCTGCAAGAAGAGAAAGTGGAAAAGTATAGCATGGTGCAGGGGGAAACCGGGCATAAGAGACGTGATACATTCTCCACTGGAAATACCTTACAGAGTATCTGAGATCGATAGAGTGCTCTCAAAGCCAAGAGTAATAGTGTCTATAGTCCCAAGGAAATTATACTGAAAATAGTTATCCATAAAAGGAACCACAGAAGGGCAGTCAGTGGCTCACGCCTGTAATCCTAACACTTTGGGAGGCTGAGGTGGGAGGATTGCTTGAGCCTAGGAGTTCAAGACCAGCCTGGACAACATGGCAAGCCCTGTCTTTACAAAAGATACAAAAATTAGCCAGATGTGGTGCCATACGCCTGTGGTCCCAGCTACTCAGGAGGCTGAGGCAGGAGGGTTGCTTGAGCCCAGAGAGGTCGAGGTTGCAGTGAGCTGAGATTGCGCCACTGCACACCAGCCTGGGCAACAGAGCCAGACCTTATCTCAAAAAAAAAAAAAATAAAATAAAATAAAATGGAAAATGCCATGCAGATTAAAAAAAGATTAGACAAAAATTAAAAGCCCTAAATCAGCCCCACCCCAAAGATGCCCCTATTGTATTAAACTTTCTCCTGAAGAGAAATTCCAGAACGAGTAAGGGAGAGTCACTAGAGCAAGTGTCTCTTTTAGTTTACCTTCTCTTGGCTGTCTCTGACTCAGCTATTAGAGGTAAAGTCAAAGGGGGTTGCAAAAGCTCAAGCTGAATGAAGTAGCAGTAAAATGATGCAGAGGACTGCCGTAACCTGCGTACTACCAGCAGATGTCAGCATACAAACTGTTCACACACAAGGATTGCTGACAGGGGTCAGGGGGTCTTCTGGGCTTGCATGGTCTTCACGTGTACCGCTATTTTGCAACAAGTCCGCTTTAATGATACTGTTTGTATATTTCTCTGTCACCTTCAGAGAGTAAGGTACTCACTTAACAAGCACCTACTATGTGCCAGGCACTGTGCAGTGGATGGCCCATGGTGACTAAGAGACAGAACTCTAGATGTCTGAAGGGAATGTACGTGTGTAAACACTGACAATGACCATGCAATGTGTGAATGCTCCCACTGCCACACAATGGATTGGAGACACAGAAAGGGAAGCATTTGCACACAAGGCAGAAACACATTCCAGGAAGAGTGAAGAAATATGTACCAGAGCATGGAGACGTAAAAGGACACCAAGGGGTCTATAAACGATGATTCAAAGATGTCAGGGCTCACAGGAGATGGAAAGAGAAATTTAGAGAGAGCCACATTGACAAAGGCTTTTAACTTCTAGCTAACGTTTGTGTTATTTTAATTTTTTTTATTTTTTAACCTTTTCCTCTATGAAATAGTAAATTATGAATCTGTTACTCTCTTGTCCTTTTACATCATTAGATTCCCCTTTTCCTCCTCCTCCTTTTTCTTCAGTAGTGAATGCTCATTCTGGCAGTAGTAGAGAATGTAAAACACGATTGGAGGCCATGGAAACCAACTTGAAGGCTATTGCAACAGCAGGCAAGACATGATGGGACCTCAGCTAGGATGACATTAAAAGGCATGAACAACAAAGTCTGGATTCCAGAAACATTTAGCAACTGGTATCAACAGAATCTATCTGCTTATCGAATGTGAGGCGTGAGGGGCGAGAGGAGTTAAAAGTAACTTTGAGGTTTTTGGCTGGGCACGGTGGCTTATACCTGTAATCTCAGCACTTTGAGAGGCCGAGGCGGGTGGATCACCTGAGGTCAGGGGTTTAAGACCAGCCTGGCCAACATGGCGAAACCCTGTCTCTACTAAAAATACAAAATATTAGCTGGGCGCGGTGGCAGAAGCCTGTAATCCTGGCTACTTGGGAGGCTGAGGCAGGAAAATTGTATGAACCAGGGAGGTGGAGGTTGCAGTGAGCCGAGTTCGTGCCATTGCACTCCAGCCTGGGCAACAAGAGTGAGACTCTGATTCAAAATAAATAAATAAATAAATAAATAAATAAATAAATAAATAAAATAAATAAAATAACTTGGAGGTTTCTAACCTGCCTAAGGAATAGCGAGTGATTACATGAACTGAAGTAAAAACCACAAGGTGTATGAACAGATGTGGGGAAGACAATAAAATCGTGAGCTTCCTGGAGCATAAATATTTGTTGAATGAGTGGACGCAGAGAGACTGAAAGAAAAGCAGTTCAAATGAAGAATGAAAATAAGACTGGTCTCCTGAGAAGTAAGGGAGAAAAGGGTGTGGGTGGCAAACGGGTTAAGAGGCCTGGAGGCAAGTCCCAGCTCCCCACGAAATAGCTCTGTAACTTTCAGCAAATCAAACAATCTCTTTTTGTTTTCATAAAATTGAAAATCCCTTCATATTTTAACATTTCACGATTCTGCAATTAATAAGAATGAAATACAGAGGTGCTGGACTCAGAAAGCAATTGGTATAACATAGTTAATATTCATTTATACCATGACAGGTTTGTTCTTCTGTGGGAGTTGGAGGGTGGGGAGCAATATTATTCCCAGTGTCTCACACACATGGCATCCAATAAATGTTCTTTGAATTAATAAGCGAAATTTACTAAATACTCAAGTGACCGGAAGAAGATTGGGTTTTGGAATCAAGTGGAAGAAAATACTTCAGAGAATAATGGTATAAGGCTGGGCGTGGTGGCTCACACCTATAATCTCAACACTTTGGGAGGCTGAGGTGGGCAGACCACCTGAGGTCAGGAGTTCAAGACCAGCCTGGCCAACGTGGTGAAAACCTGTCTCTACTAAAAATACAAAAATTAGACAGGCATGGTGGCATGCATCTGTAATCCCAGCTACTCGGAGGCTGAGACAGGAGAACTGCTTGAACCTCGGAGACAGAGGTTGCAGTGAGCTGAGATTGTGCCACTGCACTCCAGCCTGGGCGATGGAGCAAGACTCCATCAAAAGACAGACAGACAGACAGACAGAGAGCAAGAAGGAAGGAAGGAAGGAAGAAAGAAAGAAAGAAAAGAAAGAAAGAAAGGAAGAAAGAGAGAAAGGAGGGAAGGAAGGAAGAAAAAGAAAAAGGAAGAAAGAAGAAAGAAGAAAGAAAGAAAGAAAAAGGAAGAAAGAGAGAAAGGAGGGAAGGAAGGAAGGAAGAGAAAGAAAGAGGAAGAGAAAGGAGGGAAGGAAGGAAGGAAGAAAGAAAGAGAAAGGAGGGAAGGAAGGAAGAAAGGAAGGAAGGGAAAAGGAAAGAAAAAGAAAGAAAGTAATGATATAATAGCAAATATAGCAAATAATGGATTTAATTCAAATCACAGTAGTGATTATTGGGACAATGAAAGTATCAAGGTAGATGACTTTCATATTCAGAAGTCTATTTTTACCTTATTAAATTTTTATCTAAAAAGTGATATTATCCTTTCTTTACCTGATTAGATTCCTAGAAAAAAAAATCTAAAAACCTAAAGAAAATGACATAAGTTGACGCTAATGAAATACTGTTGGTTTTACGTAGTTTACAAACTTTCTTATTAAGTATAATGGTATTTACTTTTATAACTGCCTTTATGTGTTAAAACATAGTTTGGCACTCAACTTTTAGTTGATTTACATTGAATACGATTTAGTCTTTCATAGGCAAGAAAACTCAGTACAAATAATTGCACTGTTGTAAATTAGTAAATTTCAATGTACCTTAGAGAGGAATAAATGAGTTCTTATGGTGAAAGCAATAAGCTGGTAAAATAAGCTGGTATGAGCATATCATGTTCATATATTCATTCATTCATTTAGTCATTACTTATTGCTTGTGATGTTTCAGTCACTGTGCTAGAAAATAAATATAAAGAGGTGAGTGAAACCAACCCTCATGGCCTTAAGGTCCAGTGGGTAAGAGAGACAATAAAAAAACAAATCAAACAAGCAAATCAGTGCAGTGCTATGAAGAATAGAGAGTGCAGGGATAGAGGATAATGTGAGGCATGGTGGGAAGGACACAGAAAGGGACGCAGCTGCTATTGGCAGGCTGTCAGGAAAAGACCCATTGCACTCAGAGCTGAAGTATGAAAAATCCCAGCCTTGTGATAAGTCAGGGTGCAAGAGGTTAGTAACACTTTCCTTCTGGTTATTTTGGTCAAAGAGACTTTAACATTTACTAATATCGTTTTTGATCAAGCCTGTGTCTTAGCAAGCACAATGAGTTTCAGGTGCCTGATTTCAGCTGTTATGTACCATGACATGTTAGTACAGATCTAGCAAACCTTGTATTTCCCAAGTCCTCCCTGATAGCATGAGCATATAACTGAGTGGCAGCATGAGTCAGACTGACTTAGTCTTCGAGGGTAACCCAACTGAAATGATCTAATCTACATCTTCCTTGCAAAATATGCAGCCCTTCTCCCATCAATGCTTTATTTACTAACAAATTTTGGTCTTGAGTTGGAATTAATTGCTGTATTTTATTTGATTCCCACAACACTCCACCAGGAGGATAAGAATGAAAGGACTGTCTTACAACTACTTTAGACCTTTAACTGATGTTGAGCCTTATTAACGCAAATAAAAACTACATGGTACATGAGCAGATATGAGGAAGACAACCAAATTCTACTTCAAATGGTGCATCCATTTCCGTGAACACTGAAAAGCAATGGGAATGATGAGTGCTGCAAACTGGGTGCCGGTTATGCACCAGGTCCCATGATCATCACTCCACATATGATATGCACTCTTTTGGAAAGAAGGTCTGTGGCTCCAAGGGTTAAGGAATTGATGTCTCCACCAACAGGTGGTGGAGACAGTTTTGAGAACCCAAGACTTACTCCAAATCCTGTGATTTTGTCTTAATACCACCTGCCGCCACTAAAGGGTGACTTCTACCTCTCCACAAATTCTACCAGTGGTAAAGTGATGTCTGTGCCTTCGCTGCAAAGCTGCAGATGGATCAGGTATGTGCCTATCACTGTGCTGAGTAGGTCTTTTGGAGAAACCAGAGACATGTGGTCCTACCCTCAAGAAGACTGCAATACTGTATTTTTATATCACACACAACATTACAGAACAATGTAAGATGATATGTGATCATATGTCAAAGTTATGGTGCAAAAACAAACCAGAAAAAGTAAAATCCCAGTGGACTACTGGCTTCATTCAGAGATAAAGCTTAAGTTGGGTCATAAAAGATGGAATAGGTGTTAAGGAACAGAAAGGAATGAAATGGGCATTTCTAGCTGAAGCCTCCTTGAATTATTGCAAGAGTGCCTTGGACTCTGGGGTGTGGAGCCAGGACCAAGAGGTGGGAAGGTCAGTCACTACAGGGGATGGCGCAAAGCTGATCTGCCTTCCATGGCTGTCCATGGTCCACAGCAGGGATAGTCCATCTTTTTCTTACTGTTTTCCCTAATAGAATTTTGAAAAACTATGTATACAACCATATTTAAACTGTGACATCTACATTTTTTGTCTTAAGTTTAAAGAATTGTGTAATATAAACATTTCAAAATTGGAACCATTGGAAAGGGCTTATGTACCCCCCAGCGGTTTTGAAGACAGCGGTCTGTAAAATCAAATCTCGTTGGCATATCATTAGGCTTTGCCTAAGCTTGCTGCAACGGGATACACACCATGCCCAGGCTGCAAACTGCCCGGCATGTTCACTCAGAGCTGGCAGCTTTGATACTGCTGTTCCTTCTGCCTGAATTGCTGCCAAAGATCTCACAGTCTGGAGAAGACAGATGTGTAAACAAACAATTACAGGAATGTGATAAGAGTTAAACAAAGCTGTGTCGGGGAGCTGGAGAATGCAATGGAGGAAGTACTTATCTCTGCCTGGGGAAACACTGGGGAAGGTTTTAAGGGAAAGCAACATTTGAATTGATGAACAGGAGAATTTTATCAAGTTGACAAGAGTGAGGATATTTCAAGGCCAAGGATACAGTATGTATAAAAGCACAGAAGTGAAAATATATATTTAAATGTCTACTCTGTGCATCAGTTTGAGTCAAATAGTTCTTTCCGGTATAACTTAATGATTATACACTCATTTGCAATATTTATCAACAAACACATGTCATACACATACTGTGTGTCAGGCACTGTGCTAGACAATAAGAAAAAAAGATGAATTATAAACAGAGAAGTAAACTACTATAAAACAATGTGATAAATTCAGTAATAGAGACATATGTTTGAGGCCAAAAGTCCTGTATTCAATTCCAGTTTTCTCCATATTACCTAATGAATGTCGTCTGACTTCAGATCAATTTCATTTTTTTTCACATAATTACTCTGTGACCATGGGAAAATTAATTAACATCCCAGAATCTCAATTTGCTCACCAGTAAAACTGAGATAATAGTACCAAAATGCTGTCTCATCGTGTGGGTGTGTGGCTGTATTAAATGAGAATATACATGTTTAGTAAAGTGGTAATGCGTAAGGTATTATTATTATTACTGAATAGTTGAATATCTTGGAGCTAAATTGCTTTAAGTAGTAGAAAGTGGGTGGAAGGCATGGGAGTGGACAGGGCTCTGGAGGTTAAATATCAATACAACTCTGGAGCTTAAATATTAATACAAGGTGTGTTTATCAATATACAACTACCCAATAATACAGTTATTTTCTCACTTTGGCCACTAGATGGCCACATTGAATAGCTTATTTATAGTTCAAGTATCTAGACTGGGGTAAGCAAGTTCACACTAAACAGAAGAGCGTGCTTCAAAAAAGGCCATGACCGAGACCTGTCAATCCTTATCTGTTGTATGAAAAGGTTACTATGACGAAACCCATGCCTTCAAGGAGCACATAATCCAGAGAAGGAGGTAGAAGGAGAAACTCTGCCTATAGTGGGAGGAGGAACACCCAACTCAGGGTATTTTCTGTGGGAAGCAGGTACCACCTGAGTGAGTCTTAAAGATTAAGCACACTTTAACAAGGCCAAAAAAAAAAAAAAAAAAATGATGGGGAAGTGAAGTGACAGCCAATCCTCTTATCCTATTCCAGGAAGAGAAAACAGCTTATGTAAATACATGGAGATCTGACAGAGCTTGCACCATTTAGGTGCCTGCAAATAATTCAAAATGGTAGGACGGAGTTCTAAACAGAGAATGAAAAGACTAAGGACTCTCCTAGAAAACCCTTAAATGCCATGCGTGGAGCTTGGAATGTGTCCCGAGGGCTCTGAGGAGCCATTAAGCTGTTTTTGTTCACTTCCATTACAATACAATTCTAGAGAATTTTATTTTCTTTTGATTTTGCTTTTGGAGGTTTTCCTTATGGGAAGTTCCCTTGGGCTGCAATGAGGAAAATGGATTGTGAGCCAAGCCTGGTTCTAGGGAAACCTAGTGGAGAAATATGGTTACTGTGATAAGGAATGAAACTGATGCAGTGGCACTAGGGAAGGAGAGACGAGGAAGGTCCACCATATTTAAGGAAGTTAATCTTTGTTGGCTGTGGGAATGAATGAAGAAGAATCAAAGCAAGTCTTGGGTTACTGGTTTGTTATAATTAATAGCTGATGTTGCATTGACTTAGAAAAGAAATGGGAGAGAAGTAAATTTGGAAGTGAAGATGATTAGGGGATAACTTATGTCATCATAGATTCTCTGGATCATTTTGAACAATATCTGGATGGACTGTGTTTCAAATTCTCTACCTATAAAATGGGGCAACTGTAAATACCTGTCTTGTGGTCTTCAGAGTTGGCTGGGTGAATGAGCACACAGTAAAATCTTCCAAACTAAGTGGATGCATTTTTCTCAAATTAATGAAAATTTTGCTCACTCAAAAATATATCAATTTGTAGAAATTTAAAAAGATGCAGTTTAACTATTTTTGTTCACAGATAGTAATGGAAACAAAACTCTACGAAGATTGCTTAATAAAGATACTACTTTACTAAGTAGTGGTCTTTATGAGACCATCCCTAGAAGCTTTATAAAATTAATCAAGGAAAAAAGGACAAGGGGAATGTAAAATAAACCAAGCCTGTGGTACATTCAGCATGGATTATGAGGTCAGCTTGCTCTCTGACCTGCTTCCTCATAGCTGTTTGCCTCTTGTCCCAGAATCACGTAGACCCTGTGACAAAATTATAGTTCCCCTTAACTGCTCTATGGATAACAGCTTGAACATTATATAATGTTAAGTTTTCCATTTGAGATATTCTTTCAGGTCCTACGTACCAGTGAAACTACTGACATCAGCTTGCCTGAAGGATCCCACGAGAAGCTGACTCACCAAAGAATGCAGTTTCCACATCCTGATGATTTCATCCTCCGTAACCCAACCAATCAATGACCCCAATTCCCATCCTCTTTCTCCTCATGGTCCCCTTAAAAATCCCAACCCAGATCTCCTCAGGGAGATGAATTTTAGGGTCTCCTCCATCTCATCGCTCAGCACCCACTCAATCATGGCTGTTACCGTGCAGCGGGCATACCATCCTGTTGCTCCTATAATATCTAGTCATATGAAACAATATTAAAGAAAACCAGTACATTTAATATGCTTGAAAAAGTTTGTTCTTTTAAGCAAGTAACCAATTCTTCTTTGAAATCTTGTTTATATTGCTTATTTGTTGAGAAAGTTTCCTTCCTCCTTTTTATTTAATTAACAATAGTAATTTCAGCCCACTAACACTTATAGAGAGTACTTACTATGAGTCAGGGACTGTTCTAAGCAGTTTGCCTGTGTTATCTCACTTAATCTTCATAACAACTCTGTGAGACATGTAGGAATTATAATTACGATTCCCATTTTACAGATGAAGAAACTGAGGCAATAATGGTTTAGTCATTTGCCAAGGTCACAAGCTAAAAAATAAAAGAGCCAAGACTCGAATCACACAGTCTGCTTCCAAAGTCCATGCTGTGCTATACTTGTTTTCTAATTCTTCTTTGAGAATTATCAAAAATTTTATATTAGTGATGTAGAGTCTCTATAGAAAGCATATTTAATCCATTGTCTGCTACGTATGTTCTGTAACCATGTCTAACTTTGATATCAGAAGAAGTCATTTTTTTAAACTCAATATTCTTAAATTGAAGAATTTTAGAGAAAATGAAAGACTACCTTCATTTGAATAATATCTCTCAGCTGTTAGAATGAGTGATTTCCATTTGACCAATAAAAGCAGTTTGCTAGAACAACCAAAGTGGTAGTTGGTTTTTATTATACATGTTTTCCACATCAGGATGTGGAAACTGCATTCTATTAAATTTTCATGTTCAGTAGTCTTCATATTTCGTGCACAATGACTCAGTTTCAAAGGAAACCCAGCACAACATCAAAATTAAAACCCTTTCTGTGGGTTAAAAAATTAAGATTTCAGGTCCGGTGTGGTGGCTCATGCCTGTAATCCCAGCACTTTGGGAGGCCAAGGCAGGCAGATCACCTGAGGTCAGGAGTTTGAGACCAGCCTGGCCAACATGGTGAAACCCTGTTTCTACTAAAAATACAAAAATTAGCCAGGCTTGGTGGTGCGCACCTGTAGTCCCAGCTACTTGGGAGGCTGAAGCAGGAGAATCGCTGGAATCCATGAGGTGGAGGTTGCAGTCAGCCGAGATCATGCCAATGCACTCCAGCCTGGGCAACAGAGTGAGACTCCGTCTCAAAATTAAAAAAAAAAATTATGATTTCAGGTAATCAACTTATATAGAAATGTATTTCTGACCATTGTGTGTCATAGCTACCCAAATGCTTGCAGTGCATTTAAAACTGAGAGGCCCCTTAAGAGAGGGCCAGTGAACTACCAGAAGAGAACGATTGAATGAGGCAGGCCACATGCTGTGGTCTGTGGCTAGCTGCTCACAGTTTAAAATGCTGCACTGTTGTTTCCATTGTGCTCACTCATGCTATCCTTCACTGGTATTTCACATGCATTGCATTTTTTTTCTATTAAATTTAGTGACTTTTTAAAAAATAGGGTACACGGGGCAAATAGTTGCCATAGTTGTTAAAACATACGGACATTTTTCACCATAAGCATCTCCTCCTAGGCTACGCTGGGCACCTGTGCAGTAGCTTGGAAATCGTGCCAGGCTTACCTCCCCTCTGTTATCTTTGGTTCTTTTAATATCAGCTCCCCTTGTTCTCTGACCATTCTGGCTTCAAACTTGGCTTCTTTTCTGCCTATAGTCCCATTTGGACAGATATCCTAGCCTTAGGCTTTTCTGCCTACAGTCCCATTCGGACAGATATCCTAGCCTTAGGCTTTTCTGCCCATAGTCCCATTTGGACAGATATCCTAGCCTTAGGCTTTTCTGCCTATAGTCCCGTTTGGACAGATATCCTAGCCTTAGACTTTTTGACTTGCCTCTGATTTGACAAAGCTTTAGGCGTTTGTTTCCCCCCAGTAATTGCTTAAACTCCACAAACCATAACCAAGGAAAAGGAGAGCCCTATCTTGGAATAGGACCTCATTAGAACTTTTTCCACACTTATGCCTCTGCTCGTCAGGAAAGGATATTGAACAAGATGGTTAACAATGCAAAAAAGGATCATTATTACACTAAGAGACCCAAGAAATATCCAGTATGACCAGAGTCTATGGGCTGAGTGGGAAAAAAGTTTGAATATAAAGTAACTTCTCTGTGGAATTAATTAAGGTTCAGAAGAATAACAAACATAAGCACAGTGGGGCCAAAGTCTAAAAAAAAAAAAAAAAAAACAGTTGGATGAAAGCACTTAACAGGAACTGAGAATTCTAAATTCTAATCCTAAATCAACTGCACTCATAGAATAAAAGTGTGAAGTGTGGTACCACAGATAAAATGGGAGGCATACGCTTTGTTTCCAACACTTAAAATTATTTCGTGAACACAGCAATCTAGGTTTTATGATAACCTACCACAGTATGCTCAAGAAAACTGCATCAGACTCTGATCCACTTTAGGAACACATTGTTTTGCTTAGTTTTCCCATTCCTCTATCCCCTATCTCGTATTTGCTTTTAAAACCAACAGAAAGCCTTTCTTAGGAAACATTTCTAAATTCATTTCTGTGCCTCATACCATTCCCACTATTCTAGTGCAGGTTCATATTCCGTAAATGACTGCTGTCAGCCATCTATGACTAAATTTCTTTTGTTTGTACAGCCTTTGTCATCCTCCTGGGCACCACATACCAGATTAATCATTGACTGGACTCTATTCGTGTGCCATCCCAGATCTCCGTGACTCCACTCACAAGCTCCTACTCCCAACTGTGTGCCCTATTTGCCTTGCTTCCCAGCAGCGGTGGCTCTATGACTATAGTTACAAAGCTTCAGCTGCTGCCACTGTCACCACCATTGCATACCTGCATGCAGATAGTGCCTTGCTGCACTGGACCCATGGAGGCTCTGGCTTCCCTAGTGGCTGCCTGAAGCTGGCTGATCCAACCTAGAGGCAAACGGACATTAACATCTCATGGAGCAGAGTTGGACCAATGGCCAAGAGACAGGAAGAAGCCAGAGATTAGATTGCTTGCACTCTCCTGTCATGCCATGGGTTGTTTCAAGCTGCGTTAGTATCAGGTGGTCTCTCTGAAGATGTCCTGCAAGACCCAGTGACCAATCGTGGCCAACTCGGTGGTGCATCCTCTCTCTAAGATTTGGCCTCCTCCTTTCCCTGCCTCTTCCTCTATTCCCTTACTTTTGATTCCCTGGGATTATGATCCCCAATAAAGCATTAGCATATATGCTTTGCCTTAGGCTTTATATGCGGGGAACGTGTGCTAAGATAATCATCTTATTACTTTCACAAAGCCCTTTCTGGAATAATGACCTGCAAAGCTCCCTTCGCATAGCATGCTGGCTATTAAGAAACTCTGTGTATTTCTTGCACTACCTAGTCAACCTTCTCTTTCACCATTTATAACTTCCTTAGTGCATACCTCACTCTGTCCGTCCACAACACAAACAGACTATCTTCATGGCTGCTATTTCCTACTTACTATATTTTGGTACAATTCTGTGTACTTATGTCTTACCTCTCCAATTAAATTGTAAACTTAAGTATGACATACTTAAGTATGTCTTTGTATTTTGACATCATTTTGGCACCGAGAATAGTACAAGGGATTATTATGTATTTGCTGCTGATAAAAGTTATATACACATGACCATGTTTCTTTCCAAATAACAAGGAAAAATCCTGGAGTAAACATGGTCATCCCTGTAATTAACCAAACACTCAGGTGAAATGTTGCTTAGAAATAGCCACAGTTGACATTTCAATGAAAAATTTTTTTTTCCCTCAGGGAACTAGCAATACACAGGTCAGAAGAATGTAAAACAAGGCCAACTCCCTGCTGTTTTTTACCTAAAGGATCACTTTTTCAACTCAAAATATGATTTGACAGTCCTTACATGATAATTTTTGGCTATTAAAAAATCTATAAAATATTCATTTTTATGAGTGTTATAAAGTCAAATGACAATCCTGTTGGATTTATCATCTCTTATTCTCTAATCAAAATAATACATTATAATAACTTTATTTCATATGATATTTTATAATTTTCAAAGTACTTTTTAATGTATTTTTCTAATTAGATCTTTCCAGACATGTCAGGCAGGAAAGTCTCATCGTCCCCATTTGATGAGAGTGTGAGAAAAGGGGCTGATATCCGTGACTAGCCTAAGGTCACAAGACTAGGAAGGTTCTATTTGAATGAGAACCCAGACCTTCTGACTGCTAGTGTGGAGCTCTATTTGGATTTTCCCCAAAAAGATTACACAAAGCAAGTTGTTTCTCAGCAATGGCGAAGCTTGAGGTCTTTTTAATTCTATGAAAACATTCAACACATGAATAAATTGTGGAATAGCTCTGTGACCTGCAATGATGAGTCTAGTTTCTAAGTGTTCCTTCCTAGATTATTAACCTGACAGCAAATGAAAAAAATCCGATATCCCAGAAGAGCAAATGAAAAATATGAGGGAATCTCAGAGGCACTGAATTAAATCTTCATTCCATCATTTATAATTTACAAAGCTCTCAAGGGAGCTCAGGGTTTAGGTTTTAGAGCGGGTGATAACAACACTGATTCCATTTAAGTCATTTTCTATTACCCTGCTGCTGATGCAAATGGAGAGCACGGAAACACAGAGGGCGAGTGCGACTCTTCTCTCAAGAATGAATATCACACGCTCCACTGTAATTGTGTGTGAGTAATTAATCAACCAGAAAATGTGATGTGATACCTCAGGACCATATGAGAAGAATGAGAGAAGAAGCTTGTCATATATAACGTGCTAAGGAAAAACATAATTGCTATATAGCCTGTGCAGTTCTATGTTTGGGCAAAATGCTTTAAGTTGTAAACAAACTTGTGAGGTGGAGGCGTTGGAGTATAAAGCAAAACCCATATTGGTGACCAGTGTGGAACAATCTGGACAGGCAAGAAAAATCTCATTTCCTTGGAAGTCTTAGTCATCCTGATCTGAGAATGTCAAGTAATGAAGAACTAAAAAAAATAAATAAATAAAAATAAAAAAAAGAAGGTGGGAGAAGGAAACTTTAGAAATATGAGATATTTTCCCCAAGACCACAAAGTAGGTGTTAGAACAAGGCTAGTTCCCAGACCCATTCACATTCTACTATTTCAAGCTTCTCTTCCACACTGTCAAATTGGGGTTAACATGAATTTAACTCATCTCTTTGATGTTCAATTTAACACCTTCTGGATCAGAGCAGCATGTCTCTTTCCTTTAATAAGAATGCTGTTTCCAAATGCCAGCTTTTGAAATAGCTACATACGAAACTCCTGAGGAGATGGTTTAAAATGCTGATTCCTAGGCTCTGCCCTTGAAAATACTTGATCCAGTAGGCTTAGGACAGAACGTGAATATCTGTAAGTTTCAAAGTTACCACTGATGATCCTGACTTTCAGAACGATGGGTCAAGATTAAAATCAGATTTCCTTTAATATAATCTCTATCACTATTTGCTCAATTCCCAGGTTTTCCTCAATTCCCATCACTGGTGCAGGAGCACAAGAAACCACTCCAGATGCCTCTGAAGCCTTCAGTCTCAATCCCACACCAAGAGGTGCAGCGCAGAGGGGTGGCCCTCTCTCCTGTCTCTGATGGATTCCGCAGCCAGCCCATTTCTGGTCCGTGCTGACCTCCATCGTTTTCAGCAGAGCAACACCGCCATCGTTCTGTGTCTCTTTGTGCAGGCAGCAGCACAGAATTGGGAATATATTTAAGGACCTTAATGTTCTATGGAATGGTTCTGTTCAATGAGAAGACTTTCATGTATATGCCAGGTTTAAGGCTTTCTTCTTTTCTCATTGTATCTTTTTTTTTTTTTTGGCACACCCACTTTTGTATTTATTTATTTTTGCTTATTTCATCTTATCTAAGAATTCTTCTACATCTTTAAGAAATAGAGAATAAAGAGATATGCCTCAAGCCTCCAGTGGGCAGGCTAGTTTATATATATATATATATATTTCAGATATAATTAAGGATCACTCCAGGCAAGGAGACAGTACATACTTACAATTCAGTGCTATGGTGCCTTTTATGTGTGAAACCCTTCATTCTTCACGGATCTTTCTACATCAACACTCCTTCATCCTTTGGAACTTGAGAACTTTCAGGAAAACCTTCTGGTTGTTTCATACTGGGCTCTAAAACTTGCTTGCCTTTGTCCCCATCTGCTGCTCAGTGGCTGCATATTAGGAATTTGGAAATTGCCCCAACATAAGAACTGAACCATTCATTTGCGTTAACATTTCACAAAACAGTACTGCACGGGACACTAAAGGTAATACTATGCACAAGGCTCCCTAGTTGAGAGAGTCAGTACCGATGTCCGGGTGCCAGGCTGAGCCAGCCCTGAGGAAAGGGCATCTTTTCTAGCTTATACAGGCAGTTCTGATTTCTGTACTTTACTCATTTCTAGCTTTTATCCCTCTTTACCTATCTCCTTGTCTTTTGCAATTCTGCTGCTTCTTATAGTCCAATAAACTATAATAATGCCATATTTTATAGAACCTGACACAGCATATCATAAAATGGCTGAAAGTGATGTCATATGAAAAGCTCTTGAAAATCTAACTAAATGCCCTTGAGGTTCACCCTGGCCTCACCAGTTCCCTAGACTCCAGACCCATCACGAAGTGAGAAGCTTGTTGGGGAGACATGGGCAGTTTCATCATGAAACAGACTGATGTTACTTCTTAGGGAATTCTCTCACATTATGGAAAGCAGAAGCCTGGCTGTACAAGAAACTTGTGGCATATTCTAAGTAAATCAGATAAAAGTGTTCCAGGACAAATCACAGCCTAACAGCAGACAGTCACCAGGCCGGTGTGTCTAAATCTTCTTTAAATGTTTGAGTTGCTCTAACGTATAGGGCCCTGAGTTTAGTTCTGGAGAAGCAAAGTCATAAAATATGGTCCTTGATGTAAAGGGGAAAACGCAATATGAAAGAACAAAGTAAAATACAAAATTGCGTATTTGAAATGCCAAATGAGACATACAGATGTTAAGTGCCAGAGGAGCCCAGACAGAGGAAAGTTCACCAAGTACTGGGGAATACAGGGTGGGGCAGGGTTGGGGGTGGGGGTGTTAAATAAAGGGGAGGGACTGAGGGAAGTTGAAAATAATCAATCTGAAAATTTGCCCAGCATGTACATGCCTAGCAATTTCAGGTTTAATTATAAACCCTAGAGCAGCATTGTTCAGTAGAAATATAATGTGAGCCACAAACATTTAAATTTTTAAAAGGTAAAAAGAAACAGATGCAATTAACTTTAATAACATATTTTATTTTACCCAACTGGTATGGACTGGATGTTTGTGGCCCCCCAAATGCATGTGCTGAAACCCTAACCCTCAGAGTGATGGTATGAGGTGACATCTTTGGAAGGTGATTAGGCCATGAAGGCAGAGCCCTGGTGAATGGAATTAGTGCTGTTGTAAGAGGCCACAGAGCTAACTCTGGTTCTCTTTCTGCCATGTGAGGATAACACAAGTAAGCACACTAACCTGGAAGAGGGCCCTCACCAGAACCCAACCTGCTGGTACCCTGATCTCAGACTTCCAACCTCTGGAACTGTGAAATATAAATTTCTGTGTTTACAAGCCACCCACTTTAGGGTATTTTGTTATAGCAGCTTGAACTAACACATTAATATATGCAAAATATTATTTCAATTTTTAATCAATATAAAATTATTGAGATATTTTATATTTTTCTCATACGAAGTCTTGGAAATATAATTAATATTTTACACTTACATCTCAGTATAAACTAGCTACATTTCAAGAGCTCAAGAGACACATGTGACTAGTAGTTATCATATTAGACAGCATGACCCTAGAGAAACTCTGTGCATATTGGGCAGGAAGAAATGTTATAAAGATATACTCTGAAGCATTGTTTATTATATTATAGTGAAAAACAGGAAATGGACCTCCATCAAAAGGGAAAAATGTGTAAATAAACTGTGAACAAAAGGATGGAAGCACTGCTTGGATTCACCTTAAATCCCTGTTGGTGACCTCTGGGGAAAGGAGGTAAAATGGAATGGAGGAAATACATAAGTGTGAATTTTATCTGCAATATTTTAATTCTTTAGATAAAAACAAATATAGAAATACCAGTCTTTGCTCAATGGGTAGTAGATACATGGACCCTTATTGTATTATTATTTGCATTTTTCTGTATTTAAAAGCTTTTAAGTAAATTACAAAATAAAATTCACTGAGGATATGGAGGTGCAAGTAGTAGACAATCAGAAGACTGGCTCTTTGAAGAAAGAATACAGACAGTCATAAGTCAAGGGACAACTGGGGATGGTGACTCGACTTGTCAACTGATGGGAATGATCCAGAAAGGAGAGTTAAGGCTGTGAACAAGAGGTGACAGCTAAAGTTTTATATTCCCTGCACATCTGTGTGACAAATGTGAGTTCAATTTTGCAACCTCACCTTGGGAGAGTGTTGATGAAGCAAAGGGTTTTATAGAATGAGGGAGTAATGCCTCAGAAGCAGCAGTGATATTTAATGAGTCACCTATTCTACTACCTGGTACTGGGGTATACCTGGTGTTAAGGAAAACACAGCTGGGACAGGTGGGAAAGTAGGGTTCTTGGGGGCAGCCAGGGTTAAGTTAAAGGAAGGAGGTAGAGAAATGTTCAAAGATGTTGAAGTTATAGGGGAGTGTACGGCTCATGAAGGGAGGATCCAGTGGAAGCTCAGGATTGGAACAGATCAATAAGTATAATGGGTCATAAAGAGATGTGAGCCCAGGCATGGCCAACTGGAAAGGTTTTCCCTTCTGGCATCAACTGATTTTCGCAGGGATGTGAGGTACTATGGGATCAGTTCTGATCAACTTCTGGGGAGAGGCAGGGTAAAGAGTGTTTCCAGGGTGTAGGTCCTGAATGATTTGCTTGGTGGTATGTTGATTTCTGGAATATGTGCTCTCTCAGGCTTCAAACTGTGGACTTTTGAATTTCTTTCAATGTTTCACTCTCCTAACAGTGCTGTGGGGAGAGAGAGTGAGACATAGTGATCAAGGGCACTGGTTTAGGTTTCATATCCTCCACTTTTTGTGTGACCTTGAACAAATTAATCTCCTGGTGCTTTAATTTTCTAAATGTAAAATGGAGTACTGATATATCTAACTACCTCATGGAGTTGAGACAAAAATAGAGTTCATTAATATGCATAAAGCTCTTATCACAGTACTTGGCATATGTTACACACTAAGTGTTAGCTATGGACATTATAATCAGTGTAGCTATATATTTATATGCATTCATGATTATCTCCTTAGGTTAAATTCTTGACAATATAATTGTTAGGTAAGAAGGTGTGCAAAATTTTAATGCTTTCTTATAACTTGCCAAAATACTCACCAGAAGAGAAATTAAATCTCACTACCATATCATCTGATACTTGTTTGATTCCCTCTTATTTATGTCACAATGCATGACAACCCACCACCCACCCAACAATCGATTACAATAGTCCTCTGTGTACCTACTGGCCCAGAATGCAGGAGTGCTGCCTGGTGATCCACATTTTAAAGAGGTGCCCATTCAATTCATTAGCACTCTTTAGTTTAAAACCATTGTTCTAGAATTTCAACAATTGATAAATCAATTGCTAAAACATTGGTTTCACCCAGCCTCTTTGCAATGGTAACACTTTGGCCCACGCTCTTGTTGAAATTCCTCTTGGCTTCTATAACACTTCTCTCTTCTGCATCATGTGCTATTTCTATACCGCATGTTTTTTCCCTTTAAGGAGCAAGTAAGTGGGTAATCTTATGTAACTGGTAAGTCCAAAGTGGCACTGGCTTCGAGCATAGTGTCCAGTAGAAATATATGGGCCGCATCATCCAGAGGCCTGAAGCAATGTCATCAGGGCTTTGGCTCTCTCCTCCCATCACTGGCTTAGTTTCTTTGTATTTGGACAGACTCCCTGGCAATCAAAGTACTGGCACGCTCTGACTCAAATCCCTGAGCTTTCAGAAGCCCAGGAAGTTTGTTTTTTTTAAAGAGTCTATACCTAGAAATCTTAAAAAAACAAAAAACAAAAAACAAAAAAAACAAACAAAAAAAACTCTTTCTGGCTCAGGACTAATCCAGGGGTGGGAGTTACTATGCCAAATCAGGCAGGGCACCATGTTTGCATTACCAAGTCCACAGCTATTAATTTTCTTCTGATTTCTCTTCCATTTTTGCAGTACTCTCATTCACTCAATCACTAAGTCAGGCTAATTTATCTCAACAGTTCTCAAATCTGTCCTTTGTTGTCCTGACTACTATTGCCCTAATTCAGACTCTCACCAGCTCTTGCCAAACTGTTTTAATAGCTTTCTGTCTGATCACCCTTCTCCATTCTTGCCTCTCCTCGATTCATCTTCCATATGGACACAAAGATAAGCAAATGCAATCTGTTTCCTTATTTAATACCATTAGGTGCTTCTCCACTAGGATAAAGTAGTCAGAATTCCTTAGAATGGCATACAAAGCCCTCCAAGACCTTCCAGAGCCATCTACTGATCACCCTGTATGACCAAAACTAAATCCATTTGCTTTTCCTCAAACCCTGTTTCCAGTTAAATGAATTACATACATTCAGACACCAAAACTGAAATTTTAGACATTCTCGATTTCTTTCCCTCTCTACCTAACTTGTAATGTAGACATTTTCCAAATCCTGTATTTCTGTCTTCAAATTGTTCTCTGCCTCTTTCATTCCCTTTGCTCTGCCCTATCCAGGCCTTATCACATTCTTTCTCCTTGCCTCCAGTATCCACATCTTTTTCCCAGCCTCCTCTCCACTGTCACCAGGCTAACCTTTGAAACATAAGTCTTATCAAGAAAAACTTTCCACAGTACCTCATCCGCTGAATAAAAGCCCCCAAATCTTAGCAAGCTATTCAAGGTTACAGACACTGGACCCTCTTCCACCTGTCCTGCCTCTCCACGCCAGGCCAGGCACTCTATGCTCCAGGCACTGTGGACCCTCTTCCACCTGTCCTGCCTCTCCATGCCAGGCCAGGCACTCTATGCTCCAGGCACTGTGGACCCTCTTCCACCTGTCCTGCCTCCCCACGCCAGGCCAGGCACTCTATGCTCCAGACACTGTGGACCCTCTTCCACCTGTCCTGCCTCTCCACGCCAGGCCAGGCACTCTATGCTCCAGACACTGTGGACCCTCTTTCACCTGTCCTGCCTCTCCACGCCAGGCCAGGCACTCTACGCTCCAGACACTGTGGACCCTCTTTCACCTGTCCTGCCTCCCGATGCCAGGTCAGGCACTCCATGCTCCAGCCATGCAGACTGTGTCAATGCCTCCATGCCTGTTTCTGCTATTCTTCCTACATGGGGTGTTGTTCCTCATATCAGCCCATGGAAATCCTTCTCAACCATAAGGGCCAAGCAGAAACACCTTTTCTTTTTTGAAGCATTCCTAGATTTCCCTAGCAGGACTACTCTGTTTATATACTGCAGAAATGATCACAGCCTGATTAATATGGTGGTTAATTGTGCATCAATGTCAGGCCCAATGGCTTGAGCGTTCCAGTACTTACAGATTCTGACTTTCAGAGAGTTACTGAGCCTTATTTCTCATCTACATATGGAAACATTAATACCTACCTCACAGAGCTGCTTTAAAAATTGAGATAAAACGTGTGAAGAAATCAGAACAGTTCATGGCACAGAAGCAGTTACCAGTGTTCCTGGACTTCACTGGACACCTCTGAAGGCACCACATCACATCTCACTATAGCATGTGCACCAAGCTTGGGGGTTATGGAATCAAACTGCCTGGGTTTGAAGCCCACTTCTACCACTTACCAGCTGTGTGATCTTGGTCAAGCTCTTTGTCTTCACATTGTCTATTTACCCATCTGCAAATGGGGATAATAAAATACCTACCCAACTAGGTTTTTATGAGGATAACATAAAATAAATATAGCAACCATTGGCATCCAGTTAGTGCTAAGTGTTAGTTACAATTTCATCTCTGTATCCCAGAGTCTAGCACAGAAACTGGGACACGGTTCATGCTCAATAAATATTACATTGTAATGAACCCTATGCTTCACTTGGCAGTGTCTAGTTAAAGTTCTTATCTGCATTAAGCATACTGACTCATTCCATTGCAATTAAGTATTTTCTATAGTTAACACCCATCTATAAAATGCCAAGCTGCTGCCTATCTCATTGCTTGGTGAACCACCAGTGAGTGCAAATGTGTGTACAATTATGGATGGTTTATTTAGTCTTGAATAGGCTTCTCCGAAGCCATACTATTGTTATATATGTGTAATTTGATTAATTTGCCAATAGTCTGTCAAGTGAATAGCACCCCTTCCAAAAACAGTATGCTAAAATGTTTTTACATTGATTTTGAGGTAGTTGCCATGCATAGAAAGATTACCTCTCATTTCTATTAATATAATTGCTTTGCAGAGGAACGGTATTTCTGGATAAAATTATTTTAAAAATACCAAAAATTGCAAATTTCAAACCTATACCAAACTGGGGCAGGATGAAAAATATTCTCTCATATTCAAAACTTTTGTTTTGGAATCTGTGTTATAATAAACCACCAGAAGGAAGCCACTGTGAAGATTGGCGAGGGAAGGTAGCGGGGAACTGGGGGATCTATATGGGAGCAGCAAAGACAGCAGTTCCTATCAACAATGACCCTGTTGAAGAAGCACTGATAGGGGTCAGAAAACCTGAGGAAGAAAGCAGACTCCTTATGAATATTCAACACTTGCTCTAGTGCAGTTTTTCTCAACTTGGCGCTTATCGATATTTGGGGCTGGATAATTCTTTGTTATGAGGGAGCTGACCTGCATTGCAGAATGTTGAACAACACCCCAGCCCTCTACCCACTGAATGACAGTAGCATCTGATTCCCAGATGTGAAAACCAGAATGTCTCCAGACTTTGCCAATAAAAGGCCAAACACTCTGGTTTAAAAATCACTGCCTTAATGGGAGAAAATTAGCAAAATTATTTAGATGGAACCTCTTATATCTAAATGTGTACTATTTTTAAGTAGCTTTATTGACTCATATAGGCTTACCCTAAAACTAATGATCTGTACTAATAATACAAGAAGCCAGGACTATGATTGCGATATATTTTACCAGAGATGGGTCCTAGTGGTCCTCTGTTCCTCAGGTTGGAACCTAGAACAGTGTGAAGGCAAGAGGATGACATGGAAGAAAAGAGCCACTGGAAACTGCTAGCTGGTCTTTCAATTAGCAAATCGTTGCGGGGGGGTACCTGTGAAATGTAAGCAATTCCAGGGAATGCAGAGGTACCATACACATAGTCTTTGTTTGAAAGGAGATTACAATCTCCTGACAAACTATTTCCAGTGCAATTCTCATCTTTTGCTTTTTACTTTTCTATCTGGTTGGTACTTATGTTTCAACAGCAGGGGTCATTACCAATGTTATGTATTTATAAAATGAGAACAGAACAATGTACAGCTCATTTCTCCATAATACTTCACTTAAATCATTTTAGGAAATTAACTGTATTATTAATTGCCTAAAAACAAGACTCCAAGCACCTCCTCAGCCATACATTCCCCCAAATTTTTCCTTTAAAGCTGGTAAAATACTGCAATGGTTACACAAGCTTTAACTGTAAACTTAACTTACAAATATAGTAAAATTAACTTATAGTAATGATAAAAAATAAAGTTTCCCCATACTGGGTAATATTTACTTTTATGTCAGAGATGAATACGGAACAAGTAAGAGTCTCAAATGAGCAGCAATAGAGAACTCAAGGGCTTTAATTATATGATGTATAATAAAAAGAAATGGCATAAAACACACTGTACTAGTATCCTCAAGGATTAAACTATAAAATGCCTAAATATGTATCTCATTCTGACTGAATTATAATCAGGTATTCATCTTCCTGCTACACTTTGTCAACCCTGCACCTCTGAATCCAGTCATTCCTCTGATGTGTATGCCTTAATATTAAATAGTTGTCCAGAGTGTATTAGAATTAAATATATATTTAGCAACAAGCAAATGCCAAGAATCATAGGACATCAGCAGGGACCAATGAAGGTATTATATATAAAGATTTTAAGCTCGACATATCAGAATAAAGAGATCGTTTTTCTGATTTCAGGAGTGAACTTAACTCCCTTCTCTTTCAATCGGAGTTGGCCCATTTTATTATAATTATAAAAACTGTAATTTATAGGATTATTTCGCTATTTGTTGAAAAGCCAATCTAAAGTTCCAGAAGCCACCACTTTTTAAATAGTGCTTTATGTGTTACATATTCTTACATGTAATAAATCACTCTTGAGATGCAAGCAAAGCGAAACAGTAGCATTTCATTTCTCATTAATGGGTCTCAATACAAAGTAGGAGAGTCCAGGCAAGTCACTTAACTCCTCCAGGTTTTATCTACAAAGAAACTGGTATAAATACCTGCCCTTTCTTACCTTACACAGTTGTCCTGAGGATCACATAAGAAAATGTAGTTGTCAAGAGAAAAGTATTCCTACAAGTGCTGGAGCAGAACTGTTGTCATATATTTTTGTTATAGCCAAATTCTTTCAGGTGAATCACTCAGCTTTTGTACTGTTCGTGCCTTACAGAAAGCTGGAAGTACTGTGCCCCCTGCTGTTGAAATGTGAATACATTTGGTTGCTGGTTAAAAGGAAATGAACTACACTACAAATACCTCTTTATAATGAAGGTAAAAATACTAAAATAAAAATCTGAAAATTTTCAGAGGAAGCAGCCACCTTTACGCAACAGGAGCATGACTTTCACTTGATCCATCAAGATGAAGGCAAATAAAATTAATCTTAATCAGAATTTCTTGGTATTGAAACTTTATGATCGAATTTCTTTATACTTCCTCTCCCTAAGCCCTTGATGTCCTGGGCTTCTAGACCCAATCCCCTAGAGCTCCTCTTGGCTCCTTCCCCAGGCAAAAGAAAAAGTTTCTGATTAATGTGAAAAACTTAACTCACTGAATGTCATCCGAAATAGACTTCGGAGAGTGTTAAACGATTCGGCTTTTAACCTTTAAGCCACCTGTTTTCAACTGTGTAGTGAGTTTTGGCACCTTTTAAAAGGGATGCCGTGCACAAGGCAGAGACTTCTGTTTTGTTTTTTCTTTTGCCAGGAAACAGGAAGTGCTAGTTACAGTGGGGAGTGAGACGGGTAAAAAATGTTTTAAATGCTCATTAAGGTAAAAGGTACCTTACCTTAAGGAAAACATTCCAACAGAATGTTTGTCAGGTACAGAGCACTTATTTTTGTATCTCTAATTTCCCAGAATAATGCCAATTCATAACCCACAGTAGGTGTTCAATGGATGCTTATTAAATTAAATCACCTTGATTTGGATCTCTCACGCTGACTGGAAGAAAGGGTCTGTCGCATCCTCAGTCCCCCAAGATCTGGCCTTCGCACAGGTCTCTCTGCAAACCAGGTTCGGTCACATCTATGAATCCAACTTTCATCTCCACGGTTTTTAAGATTCCCAAGTGACATGTTTGCATTTAGGGGCATACTTTAATTAGTATATGACGTCTTCATGCTGATGTCCTAGAATGTATTACTAATATTTCTATTACTATTCCTTAATGGTGATCAACTAAGAAAAAATAAATTATGAAGTCCATCTTGACCAAGAATTCCTCCCCACCAAGATTTGTAAAACTTTCTGCCACACATATCTGAAGATGATCTTTTTTGACTTTAACACCTAGAAATGTATATTTTAATTTAAAATAGAATTTTAGAAACTTCTAAGAAATCAGTAATTTTCTCACCAGTTCAGTAAACCACTTTACCAATTAATCTTTTATTTTTTATTGCATACATCAATATTTAACAGAAGAAAAATAAAGAACCCCTAATGTTAAACTGAATTACATGTTATCTTCTGATTCTTTTCAATGTAGACCTAAATTTTCACATGTATCAGTAAACACAATTTATGTTCTTATTAACATTTTTGAATCTCACTTTTTTGCATACAATTTGACATATATCAATATTATTGAATGGCTATATAACATTCTGTGATAGCACTAGCAATACACCAAAATTTACTTAACCATTTCCAATCGTTGGGCTTTTTTCCCCCTTAAAGTTATCTGAGTGGAACTGCTAGAAAACTTTGTACAAATAGCTTTTCTTTCTTTTAAATATTTTCCTGGGCATATGCCACTCAAAGTGAGTATGTCAAAAGATCAGTTATAAAGCCCTTTTTATAGTCTTCTACACAGTTCTCTTAAAAGGCTACTAATACACAATGCTGCTGCTATAAGGACACATGCAATTAAAACAGTTTTGCTAATACAATAGCATGAACTAAGTCAAAGTTGCATTTTTAATATTAGGAAATTTGAATACCATTCAAATTGATTTTTTATATCATTTATACACGATCGCTTTATAAATTTGCCTAAGAGTACAAACCCTTATGGATATGCATATAGTTTTACAAAAACTGAGTGCATCCATGTGTAATGCAAATAGCTTCTTTTAAATTCCATCTTGTTTTGTCTTTTTCCTATTTACTACACATTTAAAACTTTTTCTCTTAGTTGATCTACCTTGCCAATTGCCATGAAGTTCCTTTATACCACTATTGGTGTGAGACTTGTAGTATTTTTCTTTTTATACTTAACATTTTAATTCATTTGGAATATCACATGTAAAGTGGATCTAATCTTTCCACACTGACATCTAGCTAGTCTTTCCACCAGCAGTTATTAATATTTCTTTCTTTCCATTGGCTTATTAATTTCAGTTAAACTTTCTACTTGGCACCACAGAATATTCAGAAAGGTTGCTTAATAGCATGTTTTAAGGATTTGGAGAGCAAGGCTCCCATTTTTTCCCCCTAAATTAAAAAAACTTACATCTTTGCTTGCTTTCCTAAATAATTTATTACAATTATGCCATATTCCACACAGCAACCAGTTGGAATGTTAAATGGAACTGTAGTAAATTTCATACTAATGTCACATATTGGCATTTCTTTGGATGTAGCTTTATATTTTAAAACACATTATCTAACTTAATCCCCACAATAATTCTGTGAAGTATTTCTCTTCTGTAGATGGTGAAATAGATACTAGGAGTGACTTTCCCAAGAGTATACAACTGGTAAGTAGTGAAATGAGAACTGTAATTCTGGTTTTCAAAAAAACTCCCCATCTCCCCATGTACTACTTTTCCACTACACTGGCATGGCTCCCATGGGAGTTTGTTCATGTTTAAAAATATAGCTCTTTAAACTTGCTTCTATTTAGGCATCTTTCTTAATTTATCTCTATGTAGTTATATAACTTTCTTTAAAAGTCTCATATATATTAATAACCAAACACACTTTTTAAATTGCAGTTTGTCACTGCTAAGATGTAGAAATGAGATTTTTAAAAATTGTGTATCCTGCAACTTCTTGAATTAGTCTTTGTTAGTACATTTTTATACTATAAGTTTTAGCAGTTGTAAAGCCATGTTAATAGAAAATATTTATGCTACTTTCCTTATCTTCCTCATTTTGTGAATGCTGGCTTTTATTGCAATGACAGGTCTCTTTAACCATATATAAAAATAGTGCCAACACTGTTTACTTTCCACTTGAGAAATGTTTATGTTTTCCCAGTAGGAATAATGGTAGTTCTTGGTTTAAGTACTTAACAGACTCCGAGAAGTCTATTAAATCATTGCCAGAGAAATAATTAAATCAAGGGTGAATGATGAATTTTTGAAAAGTTATCTGTAATTAATACTTTGGATTTTACTATTTGTTCTTTTGATGCTGATTTAATGGCTGTTCTGCTTAACACCAGCCTTATAATCCTGAGTGATAGTAAATTATTTGTTGCTGTATTGTTTGCCAATATTTTATTTTGCATTTTGCATCTGTTGAGAATAAAATCCTTCTAAAAATGTCTTTTAGTACTGAGAACATGTCTGCCTCAAAAGACAATTTGAAGCATACTGTCCTTCATGATACATGGATAGACATTATTTAAACATTTGAAAAAGTTCACCAGTAAGTCCATTAGGGTCAAAGTCCAACCTGTCAGAAAATTATACTGGGTTACAATATCCCCTAAATTTTTAAATGCTTTTTATTGGTATAACTTCTCATTTCCCACTTATTTTGTATTAAGAAATATATTCATTTTCTTCATTTCTAAATCAACCTTTATTTTCGACTAATTTTTCCTATTTCCATTATATTCGGCTATACCATCTTTTGCAACTTCTGATTGTTCCTTTTCTCAATTTCTTATGAATAATCTGTGATACTGAAAATCTTTTCGGTAGATCTGGAATACCTTCACCTTCATTTTATTTATCATCTTATGTATTTCTCATTTTAATTACTATTTTATAGGTCTATTTCAAGTATTTCAGTTGTTCTGTTAGATTTAAACTTTAGGATAAAGTTTAAATATGACTTTTACTATATTTTTAAAAGTCAATACAATCCATGACTTTGCTACTTTAAGTAAGTTGTCAATTACTTAAATCTGTCTAGTCTCATTTTCCTCACATATAGAGGAGCAAAAATTAGTGTATTCCGAACAAATTTTGGCCTGATAATATTTTTTGTAACACAATCTTCAGATCATGAGATGTGTTACTGAAGAACATTTTGTTAAAATTTAGCCAAATTCTGCTTCGAGATCCATGCTCTAAAATATGTTTGTTTAGTTCATCTTATCTTCACATTTCTCTGATTCAATAAGCTGCAGGACCAGTGTGTGCTTTTTACCCCCGGCAATGCTAGACTAATTTTCGTGGGCACTTTCTCTTTCTCCTGCAGCGCCTACACTCTCTAACAGTGAATGTTAGTAGAAAGATCAAAGGTTTTAGAATCACAAAAGGCTGGGTCCCCATGTTGGCTCTTCCACATACCAGATTCTGAGCAAATTACTAATAATTCTCTTATTTCTTCTTTGAAGGTGATATGGTTTGGCTGTGTTCCCACTCAAATCTCATCTTGAATTGTAGCTCCTATAATTCCCACGTGTTGTGGGAGGAACCTGGTGGGAGATAACTGAATCATGGAGTTGTTTCCCCCATACTGTTCTCATGGTAGTAAATAAGTCTCACGATATCTGATGGTTTTAAAAGGGTTTCCCTTTTCACTTAGTTCTCATTCTCTCTTGTCCACCGCCATGTAAGACGTGCCTTTCACCTTCCACCATGATTGTGAGGCCTCCCCAGCCACATGGAACTGTGAGTCCATTAAACCTTTTTCTTTACAAATTACCATCTCAGGTGTGTCTTTATCAACAGCATGAGAACACACTAATACAGAGGGTACATGCGAATTTGCCTCACAGGATTGTTGAGAAACTGTCATGAGAAAGCATAATACTAGGTACCAAACACATGATAAATACTATTTCAGAGCAAAAACTGTCACAGGGATCATCATACTCTGACTGAAGAATGGAAACTGGACTAGAGGAAAAGCAAGTTCATGTCTTCTGACAGCTCCACAGGTTTTCACCATTAGAGTACTACCAGTTTTATGACGTTGGGTGGCTCTGGGAGAAAAAAAGTTTCTATACTCTGGATAACAGCTAAGAGGCAAGAGAGATTACAGAAAATTGTTACTTCACAATTTGTTAAGTGGGACACAACCGAAAGGGCATGGTAAATCCTCCTTTGATTCATTCCTATCAGTTATGTTATAGTGATATTAATTAAAGTGGTAGAGCCAACAAGGTGGTATGTTTCATTCTCACTGAAAAACCTTGGGTAATCTATTTATAGAGGGTTTTATAAGTATCTGTAATCTCAGGTTAAAAAGGCCTCACTCTGTTTCTCCTTAGGAATTCCTAAGAATTCCTCCTTAGGAATTTCAGAACAGCCCTTCTGAAGTATCTTCTCCTGGGGCACTTCATTTTTCCTTTTGGTCTAAGTTACTTATTGGAAGCTATTTTAAGTGCCAGGGCAGGGCTCTGCAGAAATTTTCTGAAGTATTAAATAAGAATAAATCTTATCTTTCAAATTTCCTTTGCAATCAACCTCCCCAAAATGAGCTTTACAACCACTAATTGAACTCCAATTCTTTTTGTAAATTAGAATACTGTGGTGGCATCATTGCCTCATCAGTTACAAGGGTCAAGTGAGTATTATAAACTTCAGACCTTCACAGTGCATAAAGGATCATGCAAAGCTAATCTTTAAACGATTATAGACAAATGTATTTTATTATCATATTGGCATTTGTATTAGTTGCTATTCCTACCACCATGTCTATACATTTATATTATATGCAAAAGATCCACATAATTTACCATTTGTGTATGTTTCACTATTCGAACAGGCCGCAGCAACTGTAACAGCTGCAAAAGTAATTAAAATATTACTTGGGTATTACTAATTGTTCTGTAGACAAAGATAAAATCTGAAGATCATTAGCAAATACATTACCTTTAAGCTGAGTTGCTAATATGGAACCCTTACATATATACCCAATACTAAAATAAAGCTAACTCTGTTTTAAGATTCTGGGTCATATAGCCCATTCTAAACAAAATGTTCAATAATCAATAAATCACTCATTGATAGGTTAACAAAGATATTCAATGCTGAATGTCTGAGAGTTAAAGACAACATCTGCATAGCATTCATCATATATAACCACTTCTAATTACTCATATGGGAAACTGTCCTTTAAATGAGAAAATTCTGATGCCATGAAGGAGGTCCAAAACAGCATTTCGAGATTGCTCTTTTCTAATTTTGAAGGTGCTTCTCTGGGCTTTCTAGGTTTTTGCTTTCCTCAGAGGATTCTAGTTTGGCCATTACTACATTATTGGTTCCAGGAGCCTCTGGCTGCTTATCATCACCATCAAAGATAATGTCTTCTGGATTTGGAGGTGGAGGGCAGAATTCTTCAGTTGGAAAGATCTCCTGGAAAAGTGTTTCAGCTTGCTTGACAGCATGCTCATTTCCCAGGCCACAGTCAGGCCCAGAGCAGACATAAACATTGGAAGGCAAGCCATTATACGAGCTTCTGCTGATTCCCGAGGAATCTCTCATATTAAAATAAAGAGCCCACAAGAGTCTTGGCTTTGTAAGTTCTTCCTCGTTTATTTCTGTTTCAGTATACGGAGTGAATAATTTCTTCACCACTGATTCTAAGTCTTCTCTTGCTGTTTTAGAAGATGAACATGTCAAATGTACCAGATAGGTGTCCTTCATGCATGTCATGGTTGAAGAACATAATTCTGTGACCCGTACAGCACAAGCTCCTGGCTCTGCTGGAGGAACTATCAGAATGGAAGTCTGCTGATCTAAATCTGTCTTTAGTATAGACTGATCTGTAATGAGTACTGCCCTAGAGATCTGCTTATACTGCACATTTGAGCATGTTTCCTCAGAAAGGTAACTGTCTTCCACAATAAAATATTTAGCATTTATTCTTTGACCAAAGTGATCTATAATTGCTTTACATCGTCCAGATTCTTTGTCGACTACAAAGCATTGTACTTTATGACGAAGACAATAGATTCCACCAAAAACTGCACACATCCTACAGAAACCCTGGGGAATTTCTCCTTGGCCATACAAGGGAAATAAAAAGGGGGTGTTGCCAAACCGTCCGAGACACTGAAGGAAGTTTTTAGTTGCGTTAAGACCATCTATTGTAGTGCAAGATGATTCTGATGTCATTGCAATTGAGTGCAGTACAAAATGTTGAAGGTTGGGAGTTAGTTTTTTAGTTTTTAAGTATTCTGAAAATGAACACTGCCTGAAAGCTTGGTATTCATCAGGATGTTGTTCATACTCTAAACAAAATGTGAGAAATTTCATTAGCATCCTCTTTTCAACCATGGTGAGTTCCTTGCTATTAAAGACATCTGCTCTGGAACAAGGAACTTGTTCTACCTTTCCTTCCCGAAATGCAAGAATCCTAGTGACATTTTTAAATTCTACATAACGACTAACATCTGATTTGATTAAAAGATCAATTAGCAATCCTTGAGAATACAGCAGTTTTGACACCAAATCAATATTAAACCTCCTGCCTTCTTTAACTATTTGAGAGTAAGTAATCCTATTTCTAATTGGTTCATCGGCCTTATCTTCTACTGTAGATTTGCTTTCATCTTTATCTCCATCTTTATCTGAAACTGTGTGCATACAAGTTTTATCTCCACAATACTTTTCCTTCTCCACTGATTCCTCTACATCAGTTACTTCTAGTGAAATCTCTGTATCACTTTTCTGAGTGTGTTTTGCAGGCATTTCGTCGCTATTAAAATACGATAACTGGCTTTCTTCAGGTAATGCAGAATCCAGAACTTCAGTGAAGGTATTAGACACCCCCAAAGAAGGATTTTTCTGCAGAGCACCAATCTCTTCAACGTTGTCCTCCATATCCTGACTGGCGTAGCAAAAAGCTTCTGTGTGTTGAATAGTTTCATCCTTCTTGCGAAGAGTGATGGCTTCTTCTGTTTCATGGATCAGGTCCTGCCATACAACAGTACTTTCTTCCCCAATGTCATTGTTTTGCTGATACTCCTTCAACCAGGATAGCAATCCTGAAAAGCTGAAACTAGCCCAGTTTCCTCCATAGTAGCTTCTTGAATCAATATGCAGAACCCTCTGACCACTTCTTGAACATGCAGCTGCAAGGATGGATTCGGGCAAACCTGTCCCTATTATAACCACATCAAACTCTGTGGGAAGATTGTCCGCCATTTTAGGAAGTAACAGCGTCTGGTGACAACTGCTGATGAAAGAAATGAGGTGTGATTATGCTGTAATAAAATCTGTCCTTCTGATGTTCCAGTTATCCCAGAAGCACTGAAGTTGCAGGTCCTAGCTGTTTAACGGTTACCCTTTTAAAATATTTTTTTTCTTATAAGTCAGTAGCATAAAAACATGAGCAAGTACATCTAATCACATCTGAGAATACTAAAATGGATGTGTGGTTTCATTTCTGCATTTCATCTTAGCAGTAAATGTCAAAATGCATCATATATGCATTTGTGACTGGAACTCTTCTCTGAAAGAAGAAAATTCAAGAAAGAATACATTGTAAACAATATAAGAGAAAAATAATTTCATGCAACAATGACAATCCATTGGAGTGTGACATCTTATTTGGACATAAACCTCTACTAAAGCATGTCTTAAATGCTTTCTCACATATTTTCTAATTTCTTGAGAATGGACAATAGAGATATAACAGCCCTCCCAAGAATCAGGCAACATAGTAATAGAGAATGAACATAATGTTCCACAAAAATAAAGAAGAAATAACATAATACAATTCTCTAACTTTAGCTTTTAAGAAAACTATCATGTGAATAAATCTATACACAGCTGTGAGCTTAGACTAAAAGGAACGCATGGCTCCACTGTTTATAGAAACAGATTATAAACTATGTGCATACTGCCATGATTCAAAATATTTCTGTGGCCATTACAGTCTATGTGTGATTCCAGAAC
The DNA here is from genome assembly GCF_000001405.40 of Homo sapiens. Lineage (NCBI taxonomy): Eukaryota > Metazoa > Chordata > Mammalia > Primates > Hominidae > Homo > Homo sapiens. The sequence continues at coordinate 241,636,520 of NC_000001.11, forward strand.
AGCTGAATATAAGACCTTTCCATGCCACAACCACCCTTAGGATCTCATGGTAGCAACATGAGACTATTTCTACTCAATTACTAGTCAGATTATTACAAAAGGATTAATTCAGTAAAACAACTGGCCATTTAAAAATATTTAGGCTCATAATAGCCCTGAGGAGGAAAATGTATTAAAAATATTATATGAATGTACACATGCATATAAGTAATAAAGGAAAAAAGTGTGTAAGTGTAAGTAAAAAAGGAAAACTTCTGATTTCATATTAAAATATCTTAACATAAATAATACCTACTTCTAACATTTGAATACAGTGATGTTTGCATTTCGCCACTGTCTCTGCAACCCTGAATCTCTGCATCCCAAGCAAAAGGTCTATCTAAACATCCTCTGCCAAGACTAACACTGTTTGTTCTTATTTTTGAAGGGGAAGTTTAAAAAAAAAAAAATAATAAGGTTCTCCTGTTAACTTTGAGCATAATGCTGGTTACATTCCATGTGCGGAAGACATCTGTGTGATGCCCTGTGTGGCCAGAGGTAGAAAGGCCAAGGTGCTGAAGAGCATACTCACCTGAAAGTCTTTAGGCTAAAGCAACAATACTGCTAAACTTTCTAATATTCATCATTGCACAGTTTTGAGCTCTGGTTTTCACTACTGTTAAACCTACTGAAATATAAATCAGTACAAGCTGTACCTGTCTAGCCCAAGATGACTAATAATCCTGGATACTGGAAAAACAAGCCATTCAATTGGAACTTAGATTAAATTGCATAGGGCACACACCTTTAGTTTAACTAAAATGGCAATCCTAACAGTCCTGTCTAGTCAAAGCCTCTGTCTCAAAAATATCAAGGATTCCACTCATTTTTGGCATTCCCTAAGAAGCCAGGAACTAAGTACAGAATGCAGCAGTTGCCTGGCCCACTCAAGTATAAATATAAGTATGTCTGAATTACTTATTCTGCTTCTTCCAGCAGGGTGTGAAGATGGAGACTGAATCTATGATGGTATCTGAAGAGGTGTAACCATAGTACATGCTGCTTCTTGGCTTAGAAAGACAGGGCTCAGGGTAGGAGTAGGAGCAGAAGACACAATCAATAAGCGCTAAGATCAGGCACGTTCTAACCTACAGATATCAAAGGGGTCATCAAAATGCAAAGCAAGTAGGATGGCCTTACAGAGCATTAAGCTGAATTACCCAATAATAGAGATGAGAGAACTGATAGCTGGAGAGATTAAGTGACTTGAGAAAGCCCGCACAATGCATGAGTCGCAGGATAAGGAACAGGATCCACTCTTGTGCCATCAGACCAATGGTCTTTCCAACAGATAGGGCAAGCCTCTCCAAAAGCCTCTGCATCAAGAAGCTACTTCCCTCATTTTTAACTTCCTCCCCTTCAATACTCCACTGTTAGGTAGTTCTTGCTCAGGGATAACTCAGGAAGTGCCCTCCTTTTCTTCATCCTTAACCTGGATCTAGAAGCACAAACTCCGGAATTTACTCCAGGCAAAGAAATCATCTTCGCTAAAAACTTTTTAAACTCTATAGTAACTTCACTACTAACTTGCCCCCCAGGGCTTAAGTCTCGGAATCTCTTATCTCAGGGTTTCCACCTCTACATTAAAAACAGGGAGAAAGTCATGGTTGAAAGCACTAAATGCCCTGAAAAATAGGGCAGCCCTCAGGCAAAAATCTAAGTGAACTTAGAAAATCACTGGGCTGGGACCCTAGGAGGGATGGTGAAGAAGAAAAACAGGAAGGGAGAAGTGACCAGGAGACACAGGAGGGTGGGATCAGCAGAGGAAAGAGGTGAGGAAGAGGGTGGATGACAGCTAGCACTTATAAAGAACTCAGTACACCCTTGTGTTCAAACTCCCGGGCACGAAAACAGAATTTTCCAGCACAGAAAAGGCACTTCAAGGAAAAAAGAACTTTGATGTCTGTGAACAAACACCTGTTGACTACCCTGGAGAACACTACTGATGATACTTTAGGCTTGGGCTTGAATAACCTTCTTAGCATTGCCGAAGAAACTGCCTGATAGGTATTTTACAATTAATATAAGGAGTGTAATCCCATAGTCGTCCATACCACAGCCTACATACACTTGCAGTCCCCTCCCTAAATTTCAAATGTTTGTTCAAAT